>NC_000002.12:52008534-52311564 GCF_000001405.40 Homo sapiens | reverse complement strand
GGGGAAAGAAATGAGAGATTCAGAAAATTCTAGAAAGTCTACAACAAGTACTTTCCATTCTGGAATAAATACCAGTTAATGTCTCAACCCAGTGACAGCCCATAAGAAACCTTAGATTGGCCTACTCAGAATATTTAGACTCTCCAGGAAGAAAAAACCTATTCCAGTGGTTACAATCAGGAGTTAAGTGCTATGGAAATTCAGAGACTGTCTAGGAAAAAATTGTCCCTGCAAATGGATTTGTGTATGTCCATGAATAAGGGCCAGCTTTGCAACTTTCATTAACTTATGGAAAATAGAGATTCAAATTTTGTGCTAAGGCATATTTATTAGCTCCCTCAAAATGGGGAGGATTTATCTTCCCGTACCTTTTCAAAAGTTACATTTATTTTTAATTCTAATTGTTCTAATTCTCTATATCTAATTTTTAAATTGCCTCAGTGGAAGAAGTGGGGCATTTAAATTAAAATGATACAGAAAAAAAAAATTTTTGACTCTTGGCTTCTGACAGGATGAGCATAGGAAGCTGGCTTTTTTTTCCCAGATCTTAACCTGGGAGATGCCACAAAAGCAAGAAATAAGTTAACAGATCTCAGACCACTGAAACCTAGAGGAGCCCCTAGAGAGGCACAATGTGGCAAGTCCTGATGTCAGATTAGAAGAAGGCCAGAGGCACAAGGACAGACAGAAGAAGAGCATTGTTGTTTTTCCCTTTTTCTTTTCTCCAAATTGCCTGATGGTATCACTCCCCACCTGTCCCATTACTTATAACTTTAAAAAAAAAAAAAAAGAAGAAGAATAACAAGCAAAGTAGAAGGGAGGAGAAGGTGTGGCATTACTAAACTGGCTGTGATGAAGAAGAAGAAAAGGTAGAGATAGAGTGGTCAGTCTTTGTGATTTCTGTCCTTGTCTTTATTCTCTGTGACCGCAGTTGTCCCAGTGCTTAAAACCAAGAGGAGAACTCCCTGGGTGTGAGCAATGCCCAGCGAAGTAAAAAAGTCTCCTGGTTGAGTATGTGTTGAGGCAGGAAAATGGATTGAGTCGATGTGCTCAGATTGTAACAAAAGAGCTTCTCTACATTGAGGAACATTTTCCACACCCACTTTCTGAATTCATCTTGGAATATGTAATTCAGAGTCTGGATGGTACCAATTTTCTGGGCTATATATTCCCAGCCAATGTAGCTGTTATTCCTAAGAGACTATTAACTCAAAGAATAAAATTAGGAAATTTTAGATTTCTAATTTTGTATAATACTAGTAATAATAATAGAAAAGGAAGAAAGGAAAAGAATAGGACAAAAAGTATAAATAATTGGACAGACTTCCCTTGCCAAACCAAAATTAAGCATTAGAAATATCTGAAACATATAATTAAAAATATTGGGACTATGAAAAAGAAGTAAGCAGTCAAAAGAAATAACCAAATGAAAATATTATGTGAAAATTTAAATACAGTAATAGCCAAAAGACAAAATGAATGATAATAAAATACTGAACCCCTGAAATAATTCCAGGTTGAGATGTTTTTATAGATTAGTCTTTGCAAACTCTAAAATATATAATCCCTTTCTCTCACTCATTACACAGAAAAGAGTTTTACTAGATTCTTCAGAGAAACAGAACCAATAGGATGTATATAAACATAGAAATTGATTCAAAATTGGCTTTGTAGTCCCGGCTACTCAGGAGGCTGAGGCATGAGAATCACTTGAGCCTGGAAGGCAGAGGTTGCAGTGAGCTGAGATTGCACCACTGCACTCCAGCCTGGGCAAAGAGTGAGACTCTCAAACAAACAAAAAAAGAATTTAAATTTGTATTAAAATACAAAATTTAAAAATAGAAAAAAATGTAAAGTGTATTAAAATTTATTAAGTTCCAAAATGGTTTATTCCTAGAATGCTAGCATGATATAATGTCACAAAATCTAGTAAGATGACATGTGCATGCACACACATACCCCTTTGGTAGCTAAATTCAACAAAGTAAGTTGCTTAGTTTTGAGTGTTTTCATCATAAGTTGCTATTGGAGATTTATTGAAATTTTTTCAGTATGAGTTGGAAAAAGTTTGTTTTTCCTCCTTACAGAACTTTTGTGGCAAGTCATCTTACTTACAGCCTACTTAAAAGAAAAAATATCTCAAAACATTTCAACTAAAAAAAAAAGGATGTGCATTATTACCACTACTTCTTACAATATACTGAAACTTCTAGACAAAGCATTAAGTCAGAGAAAATAAGAAATAGAGGTATAGGATCCAATAATAATGATTTCTTGATTTATTTTGCTTATAAAAGACATCATAACAGCATGCATATATAAATGTACATAGTCCTATAAATTCAGCAGTTACCCTATCCAAAATCAAATTTCAGAAGTTCACTGTGTTCCAAGGGTATTATTTCCAATATGGCTACATACCCCCTAGCAGACCAACTTGTCCTTATAACTAAAAACAGCAAATAAAGAATTAAAAAGATGACTAGAAGGCACTGGGAGTAGCAGGCAGATACTGAAGGGAAGAAGGGAACTTAGGGAAGAAGGGAACTTATACTCTTAGGAAGGAAATGGCACTGAAAGAGTTTCCCTATGCTTACAGCTTTTAATTTAAGGACAGGGTATAGAATTTCAATAGTAAATGTATTGGTTTGATGAGAAGGTCTAGGTTGTAGAAATCATTGCAACAGCAACCATAAACAGAGGCAGTGAAATCCAAGAAAGAAGAGAGACAGATAAGGGAAGCCTCAATTCTTGATATAATTTTGCTCAAAGTATTGGTTAATTCATGAACCATAAATGCCTGCAGATGACTCCAAGTAGCACAGGTAAGCTTAGAAAAAACAAACAGAAATCACAACACAAAAACTGTTTTGAGTCCCTTCTCATCATTAAAAAAATACTCTTTGGAAGAACATAATAGAATTCAATTGCTAAGACATGTTTTACACAATGCACCGGATGCAATCCAAAGTTTCTCAACATATGTAAAACAGAAAGACAGGAGTATTCACAAAAGACAAGTAATCAATGAAGACAAAACCCAAGACGAATTAGATGTTGGAACTAATATATAGGCATAGAGTGATTACCCCAAGCTATTACTTGACTAGCTCTGCATAATTAAACTCTGTCTACTGCAATACTGTGGTGTCAATGAACTGGTTTTATCTGTGCAGCAAGCAGGAAGAACATGTTGGGCAATTACACTTTCCATTTATTATCAGGAACAAGGCAAGTTTGTACCCCCTCGTGACTCCTATTCAATAGCATACTAGAAGTTTTAGCTAATGCAATAAAACAATAAAAGGAAACAAAAGGTATACATTTTGTAATGGAAGACATAAAACTGTGTTCTTCATATAAGACATTATTGTCTATGTAGACAATCTCAAGTAATTGGCAGCATTCCTGGAATTAGTAAGTGTTTATAGTAAGGTTTCATGATACAAAGTTAATATACAGAATTAAATTGCTTTCTTACAAACCAGCAATGAAAAAATGTAAAATGAAACGAAAAACACAATATATTTACATTAGCAACAAAAATAAAATACTTAGTATAAATATCACAAAATATATAACACATATATTTCCCCTGTATGAGGAAATCTAGAAAAATCTGATTACAGAAATCAAGAAGATATAAATAAATTGGTTAATATTTTATATTCATGGATAGAAAAACTCAGTATTATTAGATTGCCAGGTTTTTCCAACGTGACTTATGGATTCAATGCAATACCCATTAAAATCTCTGCAAGTTATTTTGTGAATATCAACAAACTGATTCTGATGTTTTTAGGGAATAGCAAAAGACCTAAAATAGCAAAAATAACATTGAAGAACAACAAAGATATAGGACTGACCCTACCTGACTTTAAGACATAGTATAAAGCTATAGTTATCAAGATAGCATGGTATTTATAAAATAATAGACAAATAGATCAATGGAACAGAAGAGAGAGTCCAGAAATAGAGTCACACAAATTCACTCAATTGATCTTTGACAAAGGAGCAAAGGCAATACAAAGGATAAAGGACAACCATTTCAACAAATGGTGTGAAACAATTGAACATTCTCATGCTAAAATTTGAAGCTAGACAGAGATCCGGTTGTTTCCACAGTAATTAACTAAATATGGATCAGAGATGTAAATATACAACTCGACATTATTAAACTTTTAGAAGTTACTTTTAAGTAAATGAAAAGACAAGTTATGGATGGAAAGAAAATTTTTCAAAATGTATATCTAATAAGAGACTTGTATCCCAAATATAAAAGACTTCTTAAAACTTAATAAGAAAGCGAACAACCCAATTTAAAAAATGGGCAAATGATCTAAACAAACACTTCAACAAATAAGATATACAAATGCCAAATAAGCATATAAAGAAATGCTCAGCATCATATATAAATAAGAAATTGCATATTAAAACAATAACGTGGGAGCATTATACCCTAGTGAGAATGTGGAACAACAGGAATTCTTATTCATTGCTGATAGGAATGAAACATGATACAGCCACTTAAAACAAAGGGTTTGGCAGTTTCTTACAAGACTAAATATACTTGTCATACAATTCAGCAGTCATGATGTTAAAGTACTTTCTTCAGATTGAAACACATGTTTTCCCCTATACCTATGACTGTTGAATTGATATTTAGATTATGTAATGAATTTTTGAAAATCAAAGAGAAAAGTGAAGGAAATCATTTAGAAAGCAAGTAACTGATATAGTATGCTATTATTATAAAAAGAAATTTTAATGTCCAGAATATATATTATAAGGCTCTTGGACTATTTTATAAGCAGAGAAATGCAAATTAAAAGAATGATATGGCTGTTTTGGCAATCAGAATGGCAGACAACAGAAAATCTGATGTTAGAGAGACTGAGTGCAAATGTGAAACCTCATGTACTGCTGATGGGATTGTTGATTGAGATAGCCACCAAAAAAAAATCATCAAATGGTTAGTGAAATTGAGCACATCTATGTCAATCCCAATATAGATACATAAATCAATATATATAGATTGATAGATATAGATGAATAGTCAAAAAACTTATTGTATTACTCCATTCTCACACTGCTAATGAAGACATACCTGAGACTGGGTAACTTATAAAGAAAACAGGTTTAATTGACTCACAGTTCAGCATGGCTGGGGAGGCCTCCAGAAACTTACAGTGATGGTGGAAGGGGAAGCAAACACATCCTTCTTTATATGATGGCAGGATAGAGAAGTACCAAGTGAAAGGGGAAATGCCCCATGTAAAACCATCAGATCTCATGAGAACTCACTCACTGTAACAAGAACAGAATGGAGGTAACCGCTCTCATGATTCAGTTACCTTCTGCCAGATCCCTTCCACAACATGTGGGGATTATGAGAACTACAATTCAAGATGAGAATTGGGTGGGGACCGAGCCATACCACATCATTCTATCCCTGGCCCCTCCCACATCTCATGTCCTCACATTGCAAAACACAATCATGCTTTTCCAACACTCCACCAAAGTCTTAGCTCATTCCAGCATTAACCCAAAAGTCCAAGTCCAAAGTCATATCTGAGACAAGGAAAGTCCCTTCTGCCTATTAGCCTGTAAACATAAAAGCAAGTTAGTTACTTCCTAGATACAATGGAGGTGCAGGCATTGGGTAAATACACCCATTCCAAATGGGAGAAATTGACCAAAACAAAGGAGCTCCAGGCCCCATGCAATTCCAAAATCCAACAGGGCAGTCAATCTTAAAGCTCTGAAATGATCTCCTTTGACTCCATGTCTCACATCCAGGTCATGCTGATGTAAGAGGTGGGCACCCACGGCCTTCAGCAGCTCTGCCCCTGTGGCTTTGCAGGGTACAGCCCTCTTCCTGGCTGCTATCACAGGCTGGTGTTGAGTGTCTGCAGCTTTCCCAGGTGCATGGTGCCAGCTGTCAGTGGATCTACCATTCTGGGGACTGGAGGAAGGTGGCCCTCTTCTCAGAGCTCCACTAGGCAGTGTCCCAGTGGAAACTCTGTGTGGGGGCTCCAACCCTACACTTTGTTTCCATACTACCCTAGCAGAGGTTCTTCATGAGGGCCCTGCCCCTGCATCAGACTTTTGCCTGGACATCCAGGCATTTCCATACATCCTTTGAAATCTAGGAAGAGGTTCCCAATCCTCAATTCTTGGCATCTGTGAATCCACAGGCTCAATACCATGAGGAAGCTGCCAAGGTTTGGGGCTGGAACCTTATGAAGCCATGGCCCTAGCTGTACCTTGGTCCCTTTTAGCCATGGCTGGAACGCAGAGCACCAAGTCTTGAGATGGGACAAAACACCAAGGCCCTGGGCCATGCCCACAAAACCATTATTTCCTCCTAGGTCTCTGGGCCTGTGATGAGAGGGGCTGCTGGAAGACCTCTGACATGTCCTGGAGACATTTTCCCCATTGTCTTGGTGATTATATATGTTTGGCTTCTCATTACTTATGCAAATTTCTGCAGCAGACTTGAATTTCTCCTCAGAAAAAGGGTTTTTCTTTTCTTTCGCATCCTCAGGCTGCAAATTTTCCTAACTTTTATGCTCTGCTTTCCTTTTAAACATAATTTCCAATTTCAAACCATCTCTTTGTGAATGAATAAAACTGAATGCTTTTAAGAGCACCCATGTCACATCATGAATGCTTTGCTGTTTAGAACTGACTTCCACCAGATACCCTAAATCATCTCTCTCATGTTCCAAGTGCCACAGATCTCTAGGGCAGAGGCAAAATGCTGCCAGTCTCTTTCCTAAAGTACATGATTATAAAGAGTCACCTTTGCTCCAGTTCCCAAAAAGTTCCTCATCTCTATATGTGACCACCTCAGCCTGGACTTTATTTTCCATATCACTACCAGTATTTTGGTCCAAGCCATTTAACAAGTATCTATGAAGTTCCAAACTTTCCCACATTTTCCTGTCTTCTTCTGAGCCCTCCAAACTTTTCCAGCCTCTGCCTGTTACCCAGTTTTAAAGTCGTTTCCACATTTTTGGGTATCTTTACAGCAGTGCCCCACTCCCAGTACCAATACTGTATTAGTCCATTCTCATGCTGCTAATAAAAACATACCTGAGATTGGATAATTTATAAAGGAAAGAGGTTTAAGTGACTCACAGTTTAGCATGGCTGGGGAGTCCTCAGGAAACTTACAATCATGGTGGAAGGGGAAGCAAACATGTACTTCTTCACATGGTGGCAGCAAGGAGAAGTGCAGAGTGAAGGAGGAGAAAGCCCTTTATAAAACCATTAGATCTTGTGAGAACTCACTATCACAAGAACAGCATGGAGGTAAGCACCCCCGTGATTCAGTTACCTTCCACTAGGTCCCTCCCATGACATGGGATTATGGGAACTACAATTCAAGGTGAGATTTGGGTGGGGACACAGCCAAACCATATCATTAATGAACATGAAAATAAGAATATGTACAAGCATGTTCACTGTAGCACTATTTGTACTATCAGGGATTTGGGCACAATTCAGAATGTGGATGAGCATAGTCTGAGGAATATGTGTAACTGGACACTATACAGCAATGAGTTTTAATATATTGATGCTAATGTTTTGACATAAGTGTACAATATTAAATATTAAACATGGAAGATATTAACATGGTGTTCATTAAAAACACCATTTTTAATAAAAAAATACATGCAGAGAGTAAAGCTTTTTTCAGGAAAAATATATTGCTAAGAAATTTATTAATATATTTGAGTAGTGAAGGGATTGTAGTAGCAATGACATTGAGAGGTGAAGGGGAAACACAATACAATAAAACAAGATATTGGGGTGTGTGGTAAACTAATTCATGCATTTACTTTTCTATTCAATAATTATTTAATGAATGCCTTTCTAGGATCAAGCAGTGTTGTAGGCAATGGGAATACAGCTCTGAAGGAACAAGCAAAAAACCGAGAAAGACAAAAATATACATGTATATAGGCCATCCAATTAAAAAAAAAAAAAAACTGTTCCAAGACTAGAACATGAACTTCACAAAACAACATTTACCCTAAATTGCTGATATATATGTGCTTAACTTATTCTTTATGGGAAATGCAAATGAAAAACAGAATGAGATACTAATACACCCCAACTAAAATGACTACACTTTTAACAGCAATTGACAATACCAGGTATTGGTGAGGCAATAGATGAATTTCTTTTACGTTGCTAGGGAGTATGTGAATGTGACAGTTTGCACTAAAATTAAGTAATGCTTACACTATGATCCAATAATTAAACTCCAAAGTATATACCTAAGATACATAAATGAGTTTTTCCAGCAAAAGAGTTGAAAAGGAGTGTTCATAGCAGCTTTATTCATAAAATTCCAACTAGAAGCAACCAAATGCCATCAACAGGTGAAAGGTAAAACAAATAGTAGTTCATTTTTGTAAAATAGTAGTATTCATTCAATGAAACAGCAATTAAAAGAAAAAAAGAAGGAACAAATACTGGTGCCTGCAACAACATGTTCTATTTCACCAATAATATATTCACTGAAATAAACCAGACAAATAGAACACAAACTTCATGATCCCAGTTATATGAATTTCAAGAAGCAACAAAACTAGTAGATATTCATAGAAGTCACATTAGTGACCTCTGAGGGAATATGAACTGGCAAGACTCACAGTGGAAATGTATGAAGTGCTGGAAATATTGTACATCTTCTTGGGGTGCTTGCATGTGTTTGTGTATGCATTAGGTGCACAGTAAAAAATCGTATATCTCATAGACTTTATTATGTATTATATAATAAGTTTTATGATATATATAGTATAATGTGTATTATTATATACAATTATTTGATAATTAAAATACATTATTTTTTATATTTATTATATATTTTATATATGAGACAGAAAGAGAGGAGGGGGTATTAGTGTCATTATTTCATGAATTTGTCCTAGAAATGAAAAATAGGCATATCGTTAATGTAATTATTCAACAGATATTCCATCTATTTTATTCTTAAAAACACATCAAATTTCTCCATTATAAGTACATTTAGAGAATTTTTTTCTAGTTTTCTTAGGAAGGTTTGATATTGTAGCAGGTTTTTTTACTCCATAAGAAATGTCAGGAAGATTTCTATGTGTTGGGTTATATACAAAGATGAGGGTATAGAAAAATAATACCAAAAAGATAAAGAAAAACTATGCAAAAAAGGAATTTCAAAAATATTAAAATTTATGCATCAAAGCTGTGGGTTAGGTCATTGTTAATCACCTTAGTATAATTTCCTTTTAATTTTGCTAGAAATCAGTGTGTAGTTTTTTAGAACTATCCTGTGGACAATTAATAACAATACCACTAGAAATAGCAGAAAAATTCAAACACCTTTATATAAATCGAGACCTTGTGTGAGGATTCTACCCAGAAAATTATAAAATTTTATTGAGAACAATTAAGCAACACCTATGTAAACTAGGTTATCTTCTGCTTATTTATTGGAAGAGTCAATATTGCAATTCCAAGTCTCAATAATTGATCTCTAGAAAAGCAGAATTCCGGCAGGGCGCGGTGGCTCACGCCTGTAATCCCAGCACTTTGGGAGGCCGAGGCGGGTGGATCACGAGGTCAGGAGATCGAGACCATCCCGGCTAAAATGGTGAAACCCCGTCTCTACTAAAAATACAAAAAATTAGCCGGGCGTAGTGGCGGGCGCCTGTAGTCCCAGCTACTTGGGAGGCTGAGGCAGGAGAATGGCGTGAACCCGGGAGGCGGAGCTTGCAGTAAGCCGAGATCCCGCCACTGCACTCCAGCCTGGGCGACAGAGCGAGACTCCGTCTCAAAAAAAAAAAAAAATAAAAAAATAAATAAATAAATAAATAAATAAATAAATAAATAAAGAAGAATTCCAATAAAAATCTCTGCAGATTTTCTGCTGCATGGAAATTTATAATTTGGTCCTAAAATTTACACGGAAATGCAAAGCCAAGCATAGCCAAGTCAATTTTGAAGAACAAAGGTAGGAAATTTACACTGCCATATATCAAGGATCTACTGTAAAGCCATAGGAATGGGAACAGTTTACTACTGACACAAGGTTAAATGAATTAAGCCTTGGAACAGAGTACATTATAGAAACAGACTCATACATGTATATTCATTTGATTTAATTTTAAAAAGTAAAATTAAGGGAAAACTTTTAATATGTGGTGCTGGGTTGAATAGAAATCCATAAAAGAAAAAATAGCTGTCTGGACTACTTCACATCATATGCAAAAATAAATTCTTACTGGATTTTTCCATGCAAATGTAAAATACAAACCATAAAGCTTTTAAAAGCATAAGAGAAGATAAGCAGAGCTTTCTTCAACAGGTTGCATAAAAGTGTTATCTATGGCAGAAAAAAATGATACAGAGGACAGTGTTAACATGAAGGAACCTTGTTCATCATAGATTCCATTAATATAATAAAAAAGCAAGCTGCAGACTAAGAGAAGACATTTTCATTATATGTATTTGTAATTCCTACACCAGGAATTACAGTTATTCTATAAGTCTTATAAATCAATTAAAACAGAAAGAAAGTCTAGTAGAAAAATAGACAAAAGTCTTCAAATAACAATGCAGAATTTTCAGAATGAAGAGAAGATATGTCCCATTGCCAACTATATATTTACATTAAAGTGTTAATGATGCTTTTAAATTCTCTGATCATCTGGCACCATATTCTATGAGTTATAGACAGTATGTTTCTCCTACAAATATAAAATGATTTGCTGAGATGCGAGTCTTCTCAACACCCTGCTCAGTATGCTTTTTTTATTGTTGTTCTTGGGGTTCCTTTTCTTCCCCTTGCCTGATATTCCTTACCTCTTTCTCTTCCTCTTTGCATAAAAACATTTTTAAAATAAGTGCAAGTATTCACAGAACTATTACTATATATCTTATATAGTGTTCATACTTAAATAGTAAGTCTTCTCATTCTTCCTCATACAATTGAGGAACAAAAAATTCACTGAGGTTTGTCTCCTAGCCCCAGAGCTTCCAAAAAGTAGAGATGGAGTTCCGTCTGATTCTAGGAACCTTGCAGTATTGATGTGACTGCCCTGATATAAGTCATCCCATTGCTATGTACTGACTGTAATATAAGAATTCACTGTTTAACACTTCACATATATAATCTTTAATTTACACAAGAATCCAATTAGGTAAGAATAAACATTATCCCCTTTCATGTAATAAAAAACAGAAAATTAGTTTGAGAAAAAAGATCTCACTTATCTTTCTCTCCTGTCACTCCATATAATACAGGCCTACCTTGAAGATATAGTGGGTTTGGTCGCAGACCACCTCAATAAAGCAAATATTGCAAGAAAGCACATCGCAAAAATGTTTTGGTTTCCCAGTGTATATAAAAGTTATATATATATATATCTTGCCCTGTAATCTACTGTGTACAAAAATGTTAGGTCTAAAAGACACAATGTGTATACCTTAATTAAAAATAATTTATTGCTAAGATATGCTAATGATTATCTGAGCCTCTAGTGAGTCAAAATATTTTTGCTGCTGGAAGCTCTTGGTTTGATGTTGATGACTGCTGACTGATCAAAGTGGTGGTTGCTGAAGGATGGAGTGGCTGTGGCAATTGCTTAAAATAAGAAAACAATGAAGTTTGCTGCATCTATTGACTCTTTCATGAAAGATTTCTCTGTAGTATGCGATACTGTTTGAAAGCACTTTACTCACAGTACATACAGTAGAACTTCTTTCAAAATTGAGATATGTCCTTTCAAATCCTGCTATTGCTTTATCAGTTGAGCAGCAACTGCTATTCTAAACATTTGGTTGCTATTTCAACAATGTTCACAGCATCCTTATCATATAGATCTCCTCTCAAGAAATCTAATTTCTAGGCTTATCTATAAACAAACTCATTTGTTTAATTAACTTTTGTCATGAAATTGCAGCAATTCAGTCCTATCTTCAGACTCCACTTCTATTTCCATTTCTTTTGCGGTTTCTACCACATCTGCAGTTATTAGCTCTACTGATATCTTGAACCCCTCAAAGTCATCCATGAGGGTCAGAATCTTCTTCCAAATTGCTGGTAATGATGATATTTTAACCACCTTCCATAATATCAGTTATGTTCTTAATGGCATCTGGAATGACGAATCTTCTCCAAAAAATTATCAATTGAATGCCTGGATTTATCAGAGGAATCTCTGGCAGCTACAGTCTTAGGAAATGTGTTTCTTCAATAATAAGACTTGAAAGTCAGAATTACTCCTTGATCCATGGACTGCAGAATGGATTATTTGTCCACAGGCATGAAAACAACATTAATACTTCTGCTATATCAGAGCTCTTGGGTGACTAAATGCATTGTCAGTGCGCAGTACTGTTTAAAATGAGTCTTTTTTTCTGAGCAGTAGGTCTCAATAGTAGGCTTTAAATATTCATTAAGCCACACTGTAAACAGAGGGGCTGTTTTCCATGCTTTGTTGTTTTATTTATAGAGCACAGCAGAATAGGTTTAGCACAATTCTTAAGTATCCTTTTATTTTCAGAATGGTAAATATGCATTGGCTTAACTTGAAGTCACCAGCTATTAATACATTGGCTCTTGATATGGTTTGGCTCTGTCCACATCCAAATCTCACCTTGAATTGTAATAATCCTCACGTGTCAAGGGCAGGGCCAGGTGGAGATAACTGAATCATGGGGGCAGTTTCCCCAACACTGTTCATATGTTAGTGAATAAGTCTCAAGAGATCTGATGGTTTTATAAATGGGCGATCCCCTGCACAAGCTCTCTTGCAGGCTGCCATGTAAGACATGACTTTGCTCCTCATTCACCTTCTGCCATAATTGTGAGGCTTCCCCAGCCATATGAAACTGTGTATCAATTAAAACTCTTTCCTTCATAAATTACCCCATCACAGATATATCTTTATTAGCAGCATGAGAACAGACTAATACAGCCCCTAATAAGAGAGACAGCTTGTCCTTAAAACTTTGAAGTCAGGCAGTGACTTATTACCTCTAGCTATAAAATTCCTAGATGGCATTTTCTTCCAACGGAAGGCTGCTTCATCTATGTTGAAAATCTGTTGTTTACTGTGGCCATCTTCATCAGTAATATTAGCTAGGTCTTCTGGATAACTTTTTGCATCTTGTACATCTACAATTGTTGCCTCACCTTGTAATTTTATATTATGGAGGTGGATTCTTTTCTTAAATCTTATGACCTAACCTCTGCTAGCTTCCAACTTTTCTTTTGCAACTTCCTCACCTCTGTCAGCCTTCACTGAATTGAAGAGGGTTAGATCGTTGCTCTGGATTATGCTTTGGCTTAAGGAACTGTAATGTCTGGTTTGATTTTCTATCCAGACCACTAAAACTTTCTCCAGATCAGCAATAAGGCTGTTTTACCATCTTATCATTTGCGTGTTCACTGGTATAGCACTTTTCTTTTTTTAAGCTAGTTAATTGAAACAGTGACAGTGCAAAAAGAACAAAGACATTTGTAACTAGTCGTGATCAATTAGTTATAGACACCAGCACACTTGGACCAGCCAAAGTTACCATTTAATTTCTTTCAAGTAGTTTTCTTTTCCATTGACAACATATCTGATGGTTTGATGCAAGAATCTAGCTTTCAGCCAATCTCTGTTTGCAGCATGCCCTTTTCATTAAGCTGAATAATTTCTAGCTTTTGATTTAAAGGGAGGGACATGGTATTTTTTCTTTCACTTGAACACTTAGAGGCCATTGTAAAGTTACTAATTGGACTAATTTCAATATTTTTATGGCTTAGGGAATAGAGAGGCCTGGGAAGATGAAGAGACTTGGATGAGTACCCAGTGGGTGGAGCAGTCAGTAAACACAATATTCATTGATTAAATTTGGCATCTTGTATGGATGTGGTTTGTGGAGCCCCAAAAACTATTACAATATTAACATCAAATAGCACTGACCACAGATGACCATAACATGTATAATAATATGAAAAAGTTTGAAATATTGAGAGGATTATCAAAATGTGACACAGACATAAAGTGAGTACATGCTTTTGGAAAAATGGTTCTGATAGACGCTGTATGCAGGGTTGCCACAATTTGTAGAAATGCAGTATTGGTCAAATGCAATAAAACAAGGCACAATTAAAGAAGGTATGCCTACCTATATTACATCTTATATGCATAATATATTAACACATTAACATTAATATATGCTAATATCTTAAATACCAATATTTAAGAACATATTAATGTCCAATACATGTTATATTTTTCACTAATAATCTATATATTAGATAAAGAGAGGGATAAGTGATCTCCTTTCTCAAACTGTATTTGCACTATGGTTTGTACCTTACTAAATAGCTCCTGATAGTTGTTAGAAGAATATCATTTGAAACAAAACTTCTGTTACTCCAGGAAACAGAAAACTTGTACACAATGGTATGTGAGAAAGAAAATAGTATTGTTATTAAAGAAATATTAAACCAGAATGTGATGCAAACTACAAGCAACCTGCTAGAGGTTGCAAAAAAGAAATCTCACCCTTTGATAACTGAGCAGATACAACCTATTACATACATGTTTTCAAGATAAATAATAACTAGTCCTCAAGTAAAATAACTCAAAAGTACCATTTGTCACATATGCTTTATTCTAAATTTACCTGGAACTGGGGTGACTATTTGTATTAGTAAATTGTTTTTATCCAAAGGAAAAAGAAACTTCTTATACTGTGATGACAGGAATTCATTTTGCAATTTGGAGGAAGGTGCTTATTTAAATTAGGCTTCTACCTTCTTACAAAAACTGGGAGGTCGGGATGCTTCAATTTTTGAAGATTATATTTCAAAGAGATTGTTCCCAGGTTCTTGAGAAAGATATGACTTGCTCTAAAAGCTGGCAAGAAGCTTATTTTGCTTTTCATAATATTTAAGTACATTTCAAAGAGGCAGAGAAATAACTTACAATGACATGTTTTTTAATGTAAAATTTATCAGAAAAGAGATGAGAGGAGTGTCTTTCCCCTTTTGTACCAGAGGTTTTTTCTCCTTTGATTTGTATTTATCTTCACATAGACTATATTCCAAAGTATGCAATTTACAATATACAGTTGGCCCTCCATATCTGCGTGGTTCACATACACAAATTCAACCAATCACAGATCAAAAATATTTGGAAAAAAACACAAAAACAATATAATTATATAAAATTATACAAATAAAAACACCAGTAAAGTATAACTGCTATTACATAGTATTACATTGTATTATATTAGGTATTGTAAGTAATTCAGAGATAATTAAAGTATTTGAGAGGATGTGTGTAGGATATAACCAAATACTATCCCGTTTTACTTTAGGACTTTAGTGTGGGTTGATTTTGGTATCTGTGAGTGGTCCTGGAAACAGTCCCTTTAACAATTGTACTATATACTTCTCCACAAACTGTTTAATTCGTATCATCTCTCCCAAATAGATTTTACCTTTTTTTTGGCAATGTAGATGTATCACTCAATTACTGTTTTGTTAAGAATTTTGGGAGACTAAATTAAGAAGGGCTGGGAGATTTCCATTCTTTGACTAGCAACGTATGCAAAAACCTAGCTAGAATAAAATAGTTTTCTGATAGTGATGATAGGGGCTTGGGGGTGGATTGGAAAGTATTTTAAGATCAAGAAAATATTTGGGTATAGGAGAGAAAGGCAGAAACTAAAGAAGAATGCATTGCAGATTGAAGACATGCAAAGATTGAATAAACATAGCTAGGTATTATGATGAAAAAGTGTTAGCCAAATAATTTTTTAAAATATCTTAGTAAAGAATAGAAAATGCATAGAATGTAGAGAAAGACACAAAAGAAACCCTATAAGCAATTATGAGCCTCTTTGTCATTTAAAAATAAAATACCACATTGGTCCCAAATTTCCTGGAAACTTATTTTAAATCTCCAGGTATTCAGGTGAGCTTTGAAGATTCAAAATAATAGCATTCAGGACCGCATTCTACCAATACCAAGATGAATAAGGTGATACATATCATTCAATAAGCATGCATATATCTGTAATACTTCCATTTAGAATAATTTTATAAAATTACTAAAAAAAAGAGCACTACCAGTATTTGAAAAATCAACTACTTGGTTACCACATGTTTTCTCATTTTATTTTTATTTCTCTTCAGATATATTATTCCTTATGTACAAGAAAATTGAAATATAGATTAGATGTGGGAAGATATGCTTTGAAAAACTTTTGGATCATGTTATACAAGTGTTTAAATTAATTAGTATTTTATTTTTTGATGACATTATGCAGAAAACAGAGCATGTTAGTAAATAAAAATATACGAGTATTTTCTGTTGTTGTTAGTTTAAAATTTGAATTTTTCTGTTTTTGCAATCGTTGATGAAATATAATGCTAATGGAAATATGAAGTTCTAGAAATGTCACCAAGAATAATTTTTTTATACATAAATTTGTAGGGGAGCCAAGGGGAAACTTCCCTTTTGCCCTCTGAAGTTTCGTTGAAAAAATCAATGAAATAAGGCAGATTAATAGGAGAAAAGGGAAACAAATTTATTTAACACATACCTTCAGAATGAACACCCAAACACCCAGTGAGATTCAAGAGTTTATATGCCATCCTGATGAAACAGTTTATGGAAAATTAGAGAAAAGAACCTCTGTTGAGGGGATTACTAGAAAGAGTAAACAGATCCAGGAACAAAGGTTGACTTGTACATATGTGAAAGGGTCTGTTCAGATGTGATTGCATTCTTCGTCTTGTTTTCTGCAATAGATAGTGAGATAACAGGGAGTGGGAGAAAGAAAAATTTTTCTTCTTGGTGGTTCTGTATCATGGGCAGATGAAAGAACTTCAGCTTTTTTGGGAGAAAGAGTAGGGCAGAGAGAAGGTCAGAGAAACCTTGAGGCTTTTCTTTAGTTCATCATGTCAAAACACTATATTTTCGTGTATTGGTTTCTGAGCCTGAATAACATATATAGGAGCTGAATAAAACTAGGCAACCAAGACAGATCAAGAGTGTGAACACATATTAAATGCTGCAGCTCAGTGTCTACATTTAGTTATTTATCTTCATTTTAGATGATGGCTAAAAGAAGTTTTTCAGCCTCAACAGCATCCCAATGAAAACTTACCCTTTTTATTGAACCTGCCTTTGCCAAGACAATGACAGTGAGTTAAATCTACCATGACCAACTCCATCTTGCTTCTAGCCTCACAGGCTGACTGTCCTCACTCATTCCTGGGCGTAAGGCAAACTAACCACAGGAGGAATTTAGTTGATAGTTTAACTTTGAAAAGATGATGATAAGAGTCCCTACCTAAAATAAATCTCCTCCTTGCTCAGGAACCTAAACCCCATTTGTAAGACTATTAAGTCTATAATCCTAATGGGAAGGGCCTGAGTTCTTCTAAGATGTAAGTGTAGTTAACTGATAACCAGCCATTGTCCCCTAAGCTTGCCTTTCTATATTCCCTTGATGCTCAGGAATCATGTGGCCAAAGCTCACAAGATTTGTGACTTCCTTACTTACTCCTATAGATATCATCACTATTGTAAAACCTAAGATTGGTCTTTTGAGATGATTTTCAGACTTTTGCATTCTGGCAATCCACTGACTCCACCTGGACCTGCAATTCATGACTCTACTGGTCCTGTGTCCTCTACCCAGAGAACAGACTCAGTGCAGGGGACCATTTTTGACCCCTCCATTTTGAAATTATAATTTCATCCCAGACCAATACGCACCCCAGGCCCCTGCCCACTGAATTATTCATAAAAGTCCTAGCCTCTGAGTTCTCAGGAAGACTGACGTAAGTAACAACTCCAGTCCCACCTCTTGGCTAACTCTGCGTTAATTAAATTCTGTCTCTGCTGTAATACCATGCTCTCGGTGAGTTGTTTTTGTGTGTGCAATGGACAAGAAGAACCCAGAAGAAGCCGTGAGGCAATACATTATTGGCCCCTTAAGGGATACTATGTATTGTTTTATTAAAATAGTAGTTTAAATAGGTTATTAGAAACAATCAGACATGAGATGGTGTTCTCGGATCAAACTTAGGGTCGGGAAGTGAAATAAATTAGTTATTTACATGCTCATCAAATGAAATAGATATTTTTGTTAAAAAGAAAAACTGCTCATAGTGTTGAATCCTTTTAAAAATTAGTTCAAAACAGATCTCCTAAATTACAGATACATTTGATCTAAATGCAAAATATTTTTAATAAAGAGCTATATGGGAAATAAGTTAGGAAATGCAGCGATACAAAAAATTAAAATGACAAAGATCTCAAAGGAATAAAAGACTGTAAAAAGAACAAAGGATTAAATAGTGCAGCATTATCTTAGTGTGCTATTTTAAAACAAGCAAAATGTTTAACTTAAAATATATATATATATCAAATCCATGTTCTCCAGGGTAGGATGATAAAGCAGATTCAGAAATGTTTGTAAAGATAAGATTGGCCTTAAAAAGACTATAGGAGTGCTCAAGGGGGATTTTTCTCACTCTGACACAGACCAGCATACAAATGGCTAAACTAGCTAAGAATGAGACACTTTTGCATCCAAAGAATGAATTGTTTCTATGCAGGAATCTGTAAATGAGCAAAGGAGAAGCCTTTAGGAAATGAACCAATGAAATTCCAAACAGCTTAACTGTCAGTGAAGAAAACGGACATATATTCCCCTTTTCATACCATGAGTTATGATTCCATGGAGCCCCTAAATGTTCTCTTTTTGCAAATAGATTTGAAAAGCAATTTATTAGCGCTAGCCCTCTTGGTTCAGACATTTCATGTGAAATCTTCAGAATTTGAAACTCCCTTTATATTTTAGGCCTACTTGTATTTTATCACTGTAATTTGGGAAAGACTAGTTTTTTTGTTTCTGTTTTTTGTAAATCATTAAGTCAAGAATTCTCAGATCTTGTGTCAAATGCTGTACTGAGTAAAGAAAAATAAAAACATTCTAGGAATATCTTGTTTCTACTTTAAGATGAGATTGTCCCCTATTCTTGTATAAACTTGAGTTAAATAAACAGGTCATTATGAAATCTGGTTCAACTCTCAAATTCTAAATTCTCATTTTTATCCTTTACATCAAAGATGTCCTAGAATAAGAAAAAAAAAAACTCGAATAAGAAATTGGTTGTATTTCTTCCTTAATCACAAGTAACAATTTATTTGGGGATCATGTGCCTTGTTTGATATCTGTTTTCCAAACTTTCTTTAGGATAAGTGTGGCTTTTTGAAACAGATTGGTCAATGAGAAACAGACTGATATTACTAGGAAGGAAGTTTGAGCAATTGTTATTTGTGTTTTTTCTCACATTTCAGTAAATTTAATTTCTAACTGATGAGATACTATAGAGCACAGGTGGCAAAATAAGGTCCATGGGCCACTTCTGGTCAGGCATCTGTTTCATAAATAAAGTTATGGCAGGCCAGATCTCACTAACACAGGCCTCCATAACAACTGTTTTCGGTACTGACTGAGTGGATAAATTAAATATTAAAAGCTTAAAAAGTAGTGCCCTTATACAAAGGCTGGAATGTAACAAAAGCCCATCAAGAGTTTTACCAAGGGAAGCAATCGAGCTCACTCATACACTCGCTTTACATTTTGGTTGAGATCAGGTTTTGAATTGGTTTTGAGTCTGTTTTGCCCAAGTGCACTCCCATTTGTGTTGTCCAAAATTTGTCTGCACTTGTTTGTGTATCTGTCTTGTTCCTTTTGATACCACGTAAACTTGAAATGGGAGGTATTGGGTCCATTCCTGATTAGAGGCCTCTGGGAAGGAAAATACTATTATTATTTTTTAGGAGCTCAATGGTTAACAGTCACCTTAATTTAAAGCTAACATCCAAGATGTGTATATGTATGTGTGCATGTGTGCATGTTTGTATTGAAAAGGCCTTCAGGTTTGTATCTCTCCTAGGACCTTGTCTTTTTGAGCAAAAGATTTTTTCTTCTCAGTTGACTGTATTTTGTTTTCTTCATTAATAGCTATTGCCACAGAAGCTACTCTAGGTTTTTTAAGAAAAAGTGCAACTTAGACGCTTAGAAATGTCTTTGTTTGGAAAAAAAATTATTTTTAAGAGCACTGTAAAAGCATCACTTGGTCTAGCCTCAGAATAATTCTCACTTTTTGAAAACCTGGGATTAAATGTGGACTCTTCCCAGAGCTCAAAGATCCAGTTAAAAATTAGGAAAAGGGAGGTCTTAGGAATCTATAAAAGGTACTTCTATTGACATGTCTAATATGTCTGAATATTTATGTCTTGTGTACACCATGTTTTACTACTAAAAATGTATAAAAGAGTTCTAATTAATTGGCTTAAAGAAAAATAAAAGCACTTACATACTTTAACAGAAAAAAACGAAAAACTAGTCAAACGCTTTTTAAACTTTCTGTGACTTAAGTAAAATCTTTTATAAATAAGCTAGCTTTAACAATTACTAGTGAAGTAATATTAGAAATGTCTTAAGAGTTGGCAGCATACATTTTTGTTTGCATTTATTTATCAAAAATTTCATACTTATCTCTGCCACATACTATAAGGTGTCACAATTTGGCACAGAGGCTATAAAACTATAACTCAGCCCCAAACAGAGTGATCTTTGCTTTTGTAATTTTTAATCAGTGAAACATTAATATTGGTTTAATGAAGATGGCTACATCATGAATTATTTAGCAATATACCTTAACTTTTAATCTTGTGGCCTCACAGACATGAAGGAAGTTTGTCTGGGAAAAGACTGTTATCATCTTTGTTTCAAAGCTAAACTATAAACTAAGTTAATGAAAAAGTATAGCTTGGACGTTAGAAGCAAGATGGAATCAGGTCAGATCATTTTCACTGTCTCAGCTATAATTTTGCAATGGCTTTCATAATTTTAAATGATGACGATCACAGTTTTCATAAGCAATCTAGGTAAATAATTAAAATAAATAATTAGATAAATGTAATGGGATAAATACTTGTAAACAAACTTGTCACAATTTAGAATCTAAAGTTATATTAAACAACAGATACTTCATTATTTGGGTATTTTCCAATAAAAATATATTGTAGGAAAACATTCCTTCTGAAAATTGTGTCCTTTTTAAATGGTAACTAATTTTTGTCTAATTCAGTTTATTTAAAGGTTACATATAAAACAAGGTAAAAGAAACCAGGAAGTAAGAGAGATACGAAGAAAGTTATAAAAATACAGAGAATTTTAAAGATTATAGGTAAAATAAAAATATCATTGAAAATGTAAACATTTGGTCTAAATTATGCAGGTCAAATATTAGGTTTGCTAAATGCTTTAGGTCACAAACTGCTTCTTTGACTTAAAAATTGTTCAATATGTTTTGGAGTGCTAAATTCTAGATAAGGCCTGAGGACTTATGAAATTAGTCATGCCCCTAGCTATGCAAAAAGATATCAAAGAAAAGAGATTCTCTATAAAAAAGGATCTGGTATGTTAAATTCTTGTCCTAAAGTAAAATAACTGGTTGTTTAAAAAGAGGGATGTTTAGAACAAGTCAGAAAGTCAAGGCATGTCATAGTTTGTCTGTGTAAGTCATGAAAGAATTTATGCAAAGGAATTTATGCAAGATATGTTACACAATTTAAAGGTGATTAGGCCCCATAAATGCTTTATAAAATGCTACTGTGACTCTTAGCTGTAAAACTTGCCTGCTTTACAGCTAGGTAAGGCCTGGGACACATGGAGTTAGAGGCTTGAATAAGTCAGACCTTATCTGCACTTCTGTCTAGGTCCTAGGCTCCACACCCAGTACATAATTAAAATCCCAAACTTACCAAGGTTTTCACCAAAAGTAAAGGTTGCTAAGAGTTAACAGTGTAACATGTGTTTGGCTTTCTTTAGGCTAAATTTGTATAAATATGTTATTGGTATGTGTTCCAAAGTTATGGGACGCTCCTGTAATTTTGATATATCTTAGTGTACATTATCAGTAATAATTATAATTGTTATGCTAAATTATTGTGTGCTATAGAGGTAACAGATTTCCTTGTCAATTGTGTCTTTAACTAAGACTACCCTAAAACATTTTGTTACCCATAAACAATTGTTGTCTTATTTTGGTCCTCTTTAGAAGGTGGTTTTATAATCAGCTATAAAGCTCTAACAGGTGCTCTTGAATGCAGGTTTCTGATAACTGTAGAGATTGTGAAATCAGAATAGAGGAAAAACTTTTAGGACTCTTGAAGAGCTAAAATGTTCACTAATATCAAGCAGGACAGGAATTAACTGCATGAACTGAGCTAGTTGGAGACTGAAGTGATCTTTTTGACTTTCTGCTTAAAATGTTGCTAATCCTTTGTTTTGCTTTTCAGAGCGAAGGAACCTTTCTTTTGAGGTAGTAACAGCTTTTTAACAATTACATAAAGTATACTCCTATAAACACAATTTTGAGCATATTTGTTTCTCTCTACCTGATTTCTCCAGAATTTTGAAATGACTTGTGAGTCAATATAATTATTTGCATAACTGCAATAAGATTCTGTTTTCTTTTGTAACAGAACACAGTAGGAAAAACTGATTCTTTTACCAAGGCTTTGAATGGAATGGTGTGCTTTCCTTTTAGGAATCAAACCTGACTTATGGAGGCAATAAAGCCCTTGGAAACTGGCATCATATTTTGTGTACACAGTCCATGTACAGGGTTTCTGATCTGTGGTAACTAAAGAATGTCACTTTCTGACAGGCCAGGAACCCCAGATTATCTTGGAACCTCAAGAGGAGAGGAATTCAGCCAACTCATAGGTATTTGATGGTACAAATCCATGTCTGGGCTTGGCCTTAAAATGTTTTATCTCAGATTCCTTCTATGGAACAACATTCCATCAAAGCCAGTTTAAAAGGCCTATGTGAAAAATAATTATTCTTGCTGCACTGTATACAAATAATTAAGCCAATTATAATAAAGCAAACCAGTCATTCCATGATTTGTCTTTTAATAAAAATGAGATACTGGAGACAGAAAAATTATGTTTCAAAAACTATAGTATACCAGTTGTTAAATTCTAGTCTTGCCTGATGTTTTTCAGTTTTTATTATTTTCTACAGATTGGATTAAATTCTGATTTTTCTGGCTACAAGATTCCAAAATAATGTTTTCAATTTTTTCCTCTTTCTTTTCCATTTTCCCCCATTCATCCTAATTGGAAATTACTGAAACCTAAGCTGTAGTTTCTTAAAGCCCTGCAAACTGAAGACTAAACAACTTAAACTTCAGAAGAAAACAGCAGCAACGTATTTATATCTGTTGCTGTTGCATACTATTATGTTTCAGCAGATGCTGCCTCTAAGCCCCTGAAACAGAGAGTGCTACTGGGAGCAAATTGACCTCTTCCACTCCAGCACTGCATTCGGTGCCCTGTAACGATGAACCCTTTCAGCAGGAAGTAGCCAGAAAGATTACAATGCTCCATCTCCCTATGATTCCAGTGATAAATAAATATACAAGCATGATAGATATCATGTGCAAATTGACAATGGGGATGGTGGAAGGCAGTTCTTACTAACATAGGCCTCCATAACAATTGTTTCAGTACTGACTGAGTGGTTAAGTTGAATATTCAAAGCTAAAAAAGTCAGTGCCCTTATACAAAGGCTGGAATGTAACAAAAGCCCATCCAGAGTTTTGTCTAGGCCTTCCCTGGGCCTTAAAGCATGACAAAATAAGGAAGGAATTCTTAACAGGACCCATTTAAGATTAAACAAATTTTATTGGGGTCTAAAGAAACTCCCCATGCCTCCAGAAACAAGTTTATTGGGGGTTTGAAGGAACTCCCCAAACCTCGGTGACTTTATCAGGAGACATGATAAGGGTAATCACGCCAGAACCTGGACCAATTTAGATTAAGTAAATTTACTGAGGCTCCAGAGGAAGGTGTTCCAAACTGAGACCTTAGTTATAGATTATAAGAAGTTAATCATTTATGTCTTTAGATGAATGTACACTTACACATAGACATATTGCTTACAAGGTATATAAGCTCTGGGAAACTTTGTAATTTTGAGTTGGTCTGGTGAAAATTTCCAGGCCTTCTCCCTGTAACTGGTTACAGAAATAAAAACTCTCTTCTTCCCCAGTTCATCTGCATCTCATTATTGGGCCATGAGAAATAGCAGCCTAACCCTTAGTTTGGCCCAGGAACAAAGTTACACTAGAACAGAATCCCATCTATTCCTTTAGGCTTATCTATGACTGCTTCCAAGCTACAATAGAAGAGTTGAGTAGTTGTGACAGAGACCAAACGGCCACAAAGGGTAAATTATTTATTATTCTTCCTTTACCAAAAAATGTTTTCTGATCCTTGTCATATAGAACCCTCACACATAAACATGAGGAATATGTTTACAGGTGACCAAGTGTTCACAATTGCCATTTCTTTCCCTCTGCTTTGTCTTGACCAAACTTTAGTCAGTCTTCACTCCTTCCTATAGGCTCCCAAACTCTGCTTACCCCCAAGCCTGAGAAAGCACCAAAAATAATGGAATACTTCTCCTGAAAGGCAGCTGACTACAGAAAGACCTTGTCAGACCCCACTGGTGATTTTGCCTTGTGTCAAATTTCTCCCTTAAAATAGACTCTGCTTATGTTTGCTTGCCTCTCTCTAACCTATAAATGAAAAAGTCTTTTACTGTTTGATTTTAAGATGCTTTTAGATTTCTGAGATTGGAATATTTTGCCTATTGCAATAGTCTTTTTTCTGAGTAAAGCTCTCACTCTCTAAGTCCGGATTTGCATTTATTTGACAGTTTCTGGTGCCATGACTTAAATAGGGTCCTGATTCCTGATGTGCCCTGAGACCTTATTGTCTTTCCCAGTCATTCATGCTGGCTTCTTAAACTCTTTGTGTTATTTCTGGCTGGAGAAAATGTGATCCATGGTGGTGACTTATAAGTCTTAATCCAGTGCTCTGCACATTTTTCTGTAGTAGCATGATAGTGAGTTGCTTTAATTCTATTAAATTGGGCTCTTCCTGGTTCCTTGCTGCTTGAGTAGGACTTTGCCTAGCTTTTTTCTGTTCTAGCAAGAATATTATTGGAAGGAAGCCTTTTTGGCCTTTTAAGTGGGGATTTAATCCCTGATTTTTTCTATTGAACTGGACACTGCTGGCCCTTTTCTGGTCAATTTTGTGGTGAAGAGAAAATCATCTTCCTTCCAGAAGATGGACATTTTCTTGGATTTTTTGAGTGGGAATTTACAACATGACTCTCTAGTAGGAAATTCTCTGCTCTTTTGTGAGGCCTCATTGCTTTTCATAATTTCTTATTTAGGGATTGTATAGAGCAACCCCTTTGCTTCTCAGCAGAAATTGCATGAAAGACCCTGATATGGTTTGCCTCTGTGTCCCCAAATCTATGTTGAATTGTAATATTCAATGTTGGAGGAGGGGCCTGGCAGGAGGTGATTGGATTGTGGGGGTGTACATCTCCCATGCTGTTCTTGTGATGCTCATGATAGTGAGTTCTCGTGAGATCTGGTTGTTTAAAAGTGTGTAGCACTTACCCCTTTGCCCTTCACTCTTCTTACTGCTCCAGCCATGTAGTATGTGCCTCCTTTCTTTTTCTTTTTCTTTTTTTTTTTTTTTTTTTTTTGAGGCGGAGTCTCGCTCTGTCACCCAGGCTGGAGTGCAGTGGCGCAATCTCGGCTCACTGCAAGCTCTGCCTCCCAGGTTCAAGCCATTCCCATGGTTCAGCCCCCGGAGTAGCTGGGACTACAGGAGCCCGCCACCAAGCCAGGCTGATTTTTTGTATTTTTTTAGTAAAGACGGGGTTTCACTGTGTTAGCCAGGATGGTCTTGATCTCCTGATCTTGTGATCCGCCCACATCGGCCTCCCAAAGTGCTGGGATTATAGGCCTGAGCCACCGTGCCTGGCTGCCTCCTTTCTTTTCGCCTGCCGCCATGACTGTAAGATTCCTGTGGCCTCCCCAGACATGCTTCCTGTACAGTCTTTAGAACTGTGAGCCAATGAAACCTCTTTTCTTTAACCCAGTCTCGGTAGTCCTTTATAGCAATTCAAGAATGGACAAATACAGAAAATTGGTACTGAGAGGGGGGGCATTGATATAAAGATACCTGAAAATGTGGAAGCATCTTTGGAATTAGGCAATGAACAGAGGTTGGAATAGTTTGGAGAGCTCAGAAGAAGACAGAAAGATGAGGAAAAGTTTGGAACTTTCTAGAGACTTGTTAAATTGTTGTGACCAAAATGCTGATAGTGATATGGACAATTAAGTCCAGGATGAGATGGTCTCAGATGGAGATGAGGAACTTACTGGGAAATGGAGCAAAGGTCACTTTTGTTTTGCATTAGCAAAGAGGTTGGAGGCATTGTGCCTGGTGGGAGGTGGTTGTATTATGGGGAAGACTTCTCTTTTGCTGTTCTCAGGATAGTGAATGAGTTCTCATGAGATCTGGTTGTTTAAAAGTGTGTAGTACTCCCCCACTTCACTCTCTCTCCTGCCCCAGCTATGTAAGAAGTACCTGCTTCTCCTTTGCCTTTTGCCAGGATTGTAAGTTTCTTGAGGGCTCCCCAGTCATGCTTCCTGTACAGCCTGTGTAACTGTGAATCAGTTAAACCCCTTTCTTTATAAATTGACTTGTCTCGGGTAGTTCCTTATAGAAAATGGACTAATACAGACCCCCTTTGGCTCCCAAATGAGGATTGAGCATGGAACTGGAACTGATTTGTTGCTACGTGGCTCTTTTCTTTACTGTTCCTCTCATGAGTAACTCTCAATCTCCTGGGACTAAAAGTAGATTAACTCCAGCTGACTATATGCTTCACCACTGTGGCACTAATTTGGTCCAATGCCTTTGAAAATCACAAAGTATTACAAAGGATAACTTGGAATTGCTACAGCCACTCTAAGACTTTGGGGACCTCCTTGACTTAGTCCACCTCAGGTAGCTCTTAAATCTTAGGAGTTCAGAATGTCTTCTTAGCAATGGTCTGTTTTATTATTATTATTTTTGTTGTTGTGAAAGAAGCTGAAAAACTTCTTCCTCATTCAAATCTCAATCAGGTCCTTCAATGTTCTCAGCCTAACTTATTGAAAGCTGTTCTACTCAGTCTTTTAAGGACCATGTGTTGCCTCCAATGCTACTCTTTCTTTTCTTATTGAAATGCCAGGGGTTTGGTCTTAGTTCTGCTGTTCACTGCACAGAATGCCAATCACTGATATAGTGAGTATTGTCAGAGAAGAAGGCTTTAATCGGGTACTGCTGCTGAGGAAAGTGAGGGGAAAAAAAATCCATTCTGCCAAATCACTAAAATTTGTGGGCTTATGTAGCAGGGGAGGTGGGAAAAGGCAAAGAAATGATCATGATGGTTGAGGGGTCTGGCATCTCACTGCCTGAATGTGGTGATCTGATGAGTCTCAGTTCCTTGCTGAGGTTTGGTTTCCTGAGGAAGGAACTCAGATGACACAAATATAAGTTTCAAGGTTTAAGTCTGGGAGGGTCATTTTCTATGTTTATTCAAAAATCTGTAAATATTATTTTCCTGGGACAATTGGGCCAATTTCACTTTTATCCCTGACTCTAAGATACCCTTGTCCTCAACACTTCCCCCCTTCCTTCCCTTCTGCTTGTCCAAGTTGCAGTCTCTCCTACAACCTTGCTCTGGCCACCTTGTGTTTATCCTTCACTCCCTGACTCCACCCTGGCTCTTCCAACTTCTCAATTCTTCATGGTGACCTGTGACCTCAGTCTTGCTTCTCAAGGATTGGGTCACCAAGGACAAGGGACTGAAGGGGTACAATACCCCTCCCCAGAGAATTATCTTTGAATATTGGTCCCAATCTGATCTGCATGCTACAATTGAGAATTTCCCTGACCCAGATAAAAATAGAGAGAAATTTTCTACACAATTTAGGTTAATTTTAGGGCAATACTCTCTGGGACTCCTATGCCTCTAACAATTGGTTCAACTCCTTGTAGGCCTTGTCTTATGATTTGAAAAAGGGGATTAGGTTAGCGTTAAAGAGGATTTAAAAATAAACCAAAATATCCCTGAGGTGTATAGCAGAATTAAGGAAATTGGAGAAAAGCTCTTACACTCCTAGCAAATGTCTAGAAACATTTTTGAAGTCTAACTCTACTTGACTACATGGCATTTGCCTTGGTTACCAGCTTTATTAATGGACTGTATATAGAACTAAGAAAGGTTATTTAAAAACATCACGTTAATTGGCAAAACACTCCCCTCTTTGAAATCCATTTTTAGCACAGCACAATGAGGATATACAGGCTGATAAACCTAAATTTGCACAATACAAGTTCATGGTTCTTCTACTTAAACAACTTGAGGAAAATAAATCTAAAACCTT
Source organism: Homo sapiens (assembly GCF_000001405.40). Taxonomy (NCBI): domain Eukaryota; kingdom Metazoa; phylum Chordata; class Mammalia; order Primates; family Hominidae; genus Homo; species Homo sapiens. The sequence goes on along the minus strand of NC_000002.12, from coordinate 52,283,162 downwards.
AGGGCAAACTTCAACTTTACCAAAGTCTTTAGTAGAGATCCCTGTGGATATTGCTGGGAAAATGATACTGGGCTAAAGAATGCCCCAGAGCTGAAAGATAATCATAAATCTCAGTCTCAGTGACTCCTCTCTGAAGGATCTACTCTTGTCTTTCCCCAAATGGTCTTAAGCATTCTAGGGGTAATAATTACCCCAGTGAATTGACACCCCACTACTTTCCAGTAGACAGTGTAGCCACCTGCTCTACCCTGACACTTCATAATTCTCCACCACAAATCCTCACAGTATGTAATGTCTGTGGTGCTGTTAGATAATTTTTCTCATGTTCTGCCTTTTAAACCTTTTCTATGCCTCTTGGACCCCATGAGGCCCAACATACCTTTTTATTAACTTATACAATTTAGTTCATCTATTAGGTAAAGATCTGCTTTCCAGTTGGAATGTTAATCTTTTCATCTGAGGCAACTGCAAAATTAGTTCAAGACACAGCTGTCCTTCTGCTAGGTCATACCATGAGGTCAAGAATATCTATCATGCCACTCTCCTACCTTTACCAGATGAAGGAAAACTGCATGGTGGTATTATGGCCTTTCTATTTTCAATTTATCCCCACCCAGATCTCTTAGAAATCCCTCTTGCAAATCCTGAGCTGACCCTCTTTGTTGGTGGTGCCTATCTTCACACTTCAAAATGAAGTTTTCAGGTAGGATATGCTGCTACAGATTTCTAAAATCCCATATGATATAAGTCTCTACCTGGTACAAAGTCAGCTCAATTTTCTGACATTGTGGCTTTCACAAGAGCCGGCTCTATGGCTGAAATCAAGAGACCTAACATCTCTATAGACAGTTGGTATGATTTCAGGGTAGTAATACATGATTTTGGTGTGTTTTGAAAAACCACAGGATTTAAGACAACAGTTGGGGCACCAATTAAAAATGGAAAACCAGTGCCTGACTTCTTAGAAGTTTTTTATTGTCAAAGAACATAGATATATCTAAGGGCAGAAGCTTATATGGGTAATAAAATCCCAGAAGAAAAGGAAAATTATCTGGTTGATAGATATGCTAAACCAATAGCTCATTAATCTTTCTCAGTCTTACCACAATCAGATAAGATCTTAAATATACTCTGATTATCCCTGATTCTCTAATTCAGGTACTTAAAATCTTCCATTTCCAAACCTCTGGTTTTGAATGAAAAGGCCAGTTGGAAACAAGTCAGATATTTTATCCAACCAGATGGACTCTTGAAACATCCAGATAGCCACTTGGATTCTCCTCACTTCCTCAACTAAAATTTAGTCTCTGGCCTTTATAAAATCACTTATTATGGAAACAAGAAACAAAACCAGCCCCTCTGCTACCATTGGTGAAAAAACTTTACCCCCTACCTGGGACAAGTGGTGGCTCCCTGCCCCATCTGTCAAAAACATAACCTTAGTAAAGCTGGAAAGGTGGGGCAAGAAAGAAAACTACTCCAGCAAGGCCTTTTCTTCACTAGCAATTCAATTTATTCAATTCCCTAAATCTCATTGTTGTTAATATGTCCTTACTATCCATATTATCTGTTCTCATGCTGCTATAAAGAACTACCTGAGACTGAGTAATTTATAAAGAAAAGAGGTTTAATTGGCTCATGGTTCTGCAGGCTGTACAGGAAGCATGGCTGGGGCAGCCTCAGGAAACTTTCAATCATGGCAGAAGGCAAAGGGGAAGGAAGCACATCTTCACATGGCCAGGAGGAGAGAGAGCAAAGTGGAAGTCCTACACACTTTTAAATAACCAGATTTCATGAGAACTCACTATCATGAAAACAGTAAGGGGAAAATCCATTCCCATGATCCAATTACCTCCCACCAGGTCCCTCCTCCAACACTGGGGATTACAATTCAACATGAGATTTGGGTGGGGACATAGAGACAAACTATATCACTATCATTTATGTGTTCTCTAATTAGCTTGACACTTTCTCTTGTGCAATAGACGTAATTTTTGTGTCCTTCCCAAATTCATGTGTTGAATTCCTAACCCCAAAGATGATGATATTAGGAAGTCAGGCCTTTTGAGAGGTGATTAGGTCATGGGGATGAAGCCCTCATAAATGGGATTAGTGCCCTTATAAAACAGGTCCATGGGTGCTTGTTCATCCCTTCCTCCATCTGAGAACACAGCAAGAAGGTGCTATCTGTGATCCAGGAAACAGGTCCTCACCAGACTCAAAGTCTGCCAGTGCCTTGATCTTGGACTTTCCAGCCTCCACAACTAGGAGAAATAAATTTCTGCTGTTTATAAGCTACTTAGTATATGGTATTTTGTTATAGCAGCCTGAATGGACTACGAGAACTTGCAAAAGGGCCACTGTCTCTGCTGCTGATAAACTTTTGTTAGAACAAATTCCCTATATAGAACTCTCTACATAGGGAATTCCACTAGTTCTTTCAAATGATCAATGGACCCTGGTAATTTCATCCAAGCAATTCGAGTTTTTCTTCTCTTATCCTCCAAATGGCATTATCTCTATCATCCCAGTCATATGGAATGAGCCCTTTAATAATTTCTCCACCCATGAAAGGACCCCAAAGACTATGACATTCCTTCACTTAATTTCTAGCACAATCTGCCAAATTTACTTTTGGCTTGTTGACTATGAATTTCCTTTTCTTTGAAAGCCTCTGGTTTCCCCTAAATCCTAACCCGTATCAGATTTAAGGGTATCCTTTGTATTGTCACAAAGGAACCTTTTTATTAATACTTCTACTCTATTCTTCAAAAGCAACCTCTTTCAATATCATTGCTTTTCTAAAAAGGGAAATTGCTTGTATCATAACATAACTAAGCTCTCTTTCATGAGCCTAAGTATTTACGATTATAACTATGTTGCCACCAATACAAATACCTACACTATTACCATAGAAGGCAACAGCACATAAGTCTGGCTGTCATATCAATCTACTAGACTTAGATGATCCTAAACATAATCTTACCAGGTATGCTTGGAACTCTCTGTTCTAGAAGCAACAACATGATTATGTTACCCTTCCCAATTGGATAGAACAGCATCTCTATCAAAAGAACTAATTTGAATTCCAAGATGCAAAACCATAGGACAATTATTTCTGTGAATCCCAAATAGTCCCTAATAAGGTATATATTATTTGTGGCAGCCATGCCTATTGGTATCTACCTGCTAATTGAACTGGATCCTGTTATCTAGTTAACCGAATTAGCCCTTATTAAATTTCTAACCAGACTACCTTTTTTTATTTTTTTGTTGTAACTACTTTTCTGCATGATTTAAGTTTATCGGGAGCTAGGTTACCCAAAAGCTCTACAAATATGTGTTACAACTACAAAATTAGGCACACAATCCCAGGCCTGGAAGAAGGCTGTGACCTTCCTTTTTCATCAAGTTCTCAAGAAGACTTGGGACAAAAGGCTAAAATATTGGGAGTAACCAAAAAGACTTGACTGTTGCAGTAGATCATGTATGGGCAACCTTTGTGCCTGGACTTGCTGCTATGTGGGCCACTCAGGAATTTTACTGGCACTCCTGCATCTTCCTTGCTGTGTTCCAGGAAACATCCGTGACTCTGGACAATCTTACCAAAACTACGATGCTAGAGAGCTGCAGGAACACAGTCCTTCAAAATCCTCTGGCATTGGTCATGATTCTGGATTCTGGATTCTGGAAGGGCCACTTTCACAGTGGTTGGAAGGCATTGTTGTGAATATTTTCCCAGAATCCTCTCTGATGTCTGTGCCATCACCAAAAATATTCAGACCACAAATGGAAATGTATCAGATTGCCACTGCTGTCTTCACTCTACCATCTGAATGAAGACGTTTTAGGCATGTTTTAGGCATGTTTTAGATCTTTGAATTTCAACTGGCTTTCTTCAAACCTCCGATCTTGGTTTTAATCATGTGTTCATTCTTTAACAGCTAGTCTTTCTATTTTATTCCCAGATATGCCTCATTTTATTATCATTATTACTTTCCCCAGATTCAGTAACTTGTCCAGTAGGCCTCACTTTAACAGCCCAATCTCTAAGACCGTAAAACAGCTATCAGTTTGACAGCATGTTCCACATTTGGTACAGTGGGTAGTGCTTCATGGCCAATAAGAATGTGAAGGGTTCCCTACCCTTATAAACTACTTGGATCAGCCTCAACTTCACAGTGATTCTTATTCCATCGCTAATAGTGTTTAAGAAAAGACTTCATGTCTTAAATAACAGAGAGGACAAACTAAGTGTTCACAATTGCCGTTTTTTACCTTTTGCTTTATCTTGACTAAATATTAGTAAGGTTTCTCTCCTTCCTCCATGACCTTATATTCTTCATGCCCACAAGTCTGAGCAAGGACCAAAAAAGTAGAATGTGCTTTCTCATCAGCTTCTGCTGGGTATCTACTGGCCATAGTGAGACTCTTTGTCAGACCCCACTGGCCATTTTCTTTTGCCTGATCAAATTCCCTTTAAAACATTCTACTTATATTTTACTCAATAAAATGAAAATCTTTTTCTGTTTCATCTGGAGACACTTGAAGATTTCTGAGATTAGAGTGTTCTCCCTATCGTCTTTCTTCTGAATCAAACCTTTCCTTTTCAACTCTAGATTTGCTTTTATTGACGGTGGCATTCATTTCAACAAATGTGTAATACCAAAACTAAATCAACAGAAAAGCAAGGGAGGGAGACCTTAAGTATCTAGAAAGAAGAAAGAATAAATAAAATTGTGGTTTGTTAATTCATAAAATGGAGTAATACTCAAGAAATAAAATGACAACTAGAGTATGCCTATTTTACAACAATTCTTGAATGCATATTGTTAAAGGGAGAAAACTGGGGAAGAGATCACACAATATTATTTAATTCATCCAAAGCCGAAAAGTACCCAAAATATCTTAGATTTTATAGGTATATGCTTATGTACATATGCAGTAAAAGTATAATACATATAAATATTCACCAACTCTATCTGAGGAGAAAGAGAAGGGAATGTTTGGGTAGGAGGATAAAGTAGGTAAAATCTGCATCAGTTAATTTTTTATTTCTGTATAAATACAAATACAGCACAATGTTAACATTGCTTAAATCTGGTTGACAGGCACATGGGGATTTGTTATATTGTTCTTTGCATGTCTTGTATATTTCAAGTATTTTGTGATAAATTGAATAAGCAGAGAGGGAAACTCTAGAACACTGAAGACTGCTGACAGGTAAAAAGTTTTCTCTGAAGAAATGCTCACTGGTAAATGCAAATGCAAACTTTTATCAGTTATTCTTGCCCTGTGTCTGTCTAGAGAAGCAATTCACAGGGGAGTTCCTAGTGCCTTGTAGTTAATTCTCTTTTGAGGCCTAGGCTAGTTTTCTTATCACTTTGACTTATTCATTAAAGGCAGATATCGTACAGCCATGAGTATTTCCAATAACAACCTCTTATTTTATTGAAATGTAAAAATGAAACACATATTCCTTTTAGCCAAATGATGATTTATGAAATAATTATATGTATCTATTTATTTTGCTCCTTTATTTCAAATAGCAGACTTTGCTGATGGGGAAGAGAAAATAATCACACTTTTCATTCCATCTGCTTTTCCTGGACAGGAAAAATCAACACATAGTATTGAAAGGTGGCTAACTTTAATAAGTTTGATCAAATACCCTTAGAAGAGTGTTTTAAAATTTATATCTTCTTACACATTTTTAGATTTGCCTATAATTTTTTAAATCATAAATTTAAATAGATGCCGAGAATGTATTTTTTAGAGTCAATAAATTCTAAGACTGCCTAATTTTGCTTTTATACATTTTCAGTACATGCAGATGAATTTCAAAAGGATTAAAATGGGGTTGGTTGTGTTGGGGCTCGGAAGTCGATACCCCAAAATAAGACATCATGGCATATTGAGTATTTTGAGCTGAAGGAAACTAAGAAAACCACAGGAGGAAGGTTTTTTGAAATTCTCCTACCTCTCTCTCTCCTGAAGCATGCTATAGAAACTGAAATTCCCTTTATCCTTTCTTCCCTGAAGCGAGCCATAAATCCCAGCTGAAGTAACACCCTCATCCCAAATGGGTTCTTTCTCTACCCAGAAGGAAGGAATGCCCTTTATCCCTGAAGCCATAGAACACAGAGAAGGATATGGACTAACAGACCTTACTGAGTTTTTCCCAGTTGGTTAACATTACATCTTACCATTTTTTGTCCAATCATATTTCTCTACAGCTATCCACTTCTTCATTAGATTTAGCATAAAACATACACAGATTTTCCTGTTTCTTTGGATCATCATTTATTTATGAGGACTCTCATGTCATACAAAACTTGTTAAATAAATTTGCATGCTTTTCTTGTGTTAATCTGTCTTTGTCAGTTTTATTTTCATGCCCATCTAGGAACCCTAAAATGATTGAGAAAATTCGTCCTCCTCTACAAGTGAAAGACTGTTTTGTTTTATTTTACATTAGACTTTTTTTTTTAACTTCTGGTGATCTTGATGAATGTAGAGAGATAGGTGTAGATTTTTCTTATTGAGAAACCTAACCCCACAGCCATTATTTTAAGGTTTGGTTCATATAATATCTTGGCACTTGTTGAAAATAGAATTGAGTGAAGTAGAAAACAGGATAGTATATATCAGGTATGAATAAATGTTCAAACTACTGAAAGTGTGTAAAAAAATAAAATTTTTCCTAAAAAAAAATGAAATTGTAAAAAGTCAATGCTTTACATTTCTGTGACACCTTACTTTTGTGAATCAAATAAAAGAAGTTGCCTCTGTTTAAAAAGAGGCTGTGCAGAGAACACACTCCTTTAAGAAAATTTAGAGATGTAACTTTGGTTAGAAGTACACTGAATTTATACCGGGCATATGAGAATTGGGATACTGAATAGTGAATTAAATTAAATTAAACTTCATTTAAAAGAGGTGGTACTGTAAACAGAAACTACGTAATGCAATGTTGACCTCTGTGACACAAAACCTGTCTTTGAATGCTGGCTATCTCATTCAGTAAGTAAGGGTGTGAATATGGGCAAGTAACTTAACTTTTCTAATCATCCACTTCTGAGGCCTGTTGTTATGAATAAAGGTAATAATGTTTCTAAAAGCATTTTATAAATATCAGGTTCTGATGTTATTCTGCTTGGGTTGAAGCTATGGGAAACTATTTTTTTCTGTATATAGTGGATAATAGAAAATTATTATTTTCCTGGACTAAACAATTTTGATATGTTCAGTCATGAAATAATGAATGGATATATTGCTTTGTATAAATAGTTTTGATAATACTAACCTTACTTGAAATTATATATATATATACACACACACACACACGTTATTTGCAGGGGTAAATTGCCTGTGACTTATGAATGTGTATGTGAGTGTGTGTTCATGAAGGATGGCAGTGTTAGGCAGAGAAAAATATCAAAAAATGAAGTAACACGTTACAAAAATATAACTTTTTTTATTATTATACTTTAAGTTCTAGGGTACACGTGCACAACGTGCACGTTTGTTACATATGTATACATGTGCCATGGTGGTAAATGACCCATTAACTCATCGTTTACATTAGGTAGATCTCCTAATGCTATCCCTCACCCCTCCCCCAACTCCATGACAGGCCCCGGTGTGTGATGTTCCCCATCCTGTGTCCAGGTGTTCTCATTGTTCAATTCCCACCTATGAGTGAGAACATGTGGTGTTTGGTTTTCTGTCCTTGCGATAGTTGGCTCACAATGATGGTTTCCAGCTTCATCCATGTCCCTACAAAGGACATGAACTCATCCTTTTTTATGGCTGCATGGTATTCCATGGTGTATATTGCCACTTTTCTTAATCCAGTCTATCATTGTTGGACATTTGGCTTGGTTCCAAGTCTTTGCTATTGTGAATAGTGCCACAATAAACATACCTGTGCATGTGTCTTTATAGCAGCATGATTTATAATCCTTTGGGTATATACTCAGTAATGGGATGGCTGGGTCAAATGGTATTTCTAGTTCTAGATCCCTGAGGAATGGCCACACTGACTTCCACAATGGTTGAACTAGTTTACAGTCCCACCAACAGTGTAAAAGTGTTCCTGTTTCTCCACATCCTCTCCAGCATCTGTCGTTTCCTGACTTTTTAATGATCGCCATTCTAACTGGTGTGAGATGGTATCTCATTGTGGTTTTGATTTGCATTTCTCTGATGGCCAGTGACGATGAGCATTTTTTCATGTGTCTTTTGGCTGCATAAATGTCTTCTTTTGAGAAGTGTCTGTTCATATCCTTCACCCACTTTTTGATGCAGTTGTTTGATTTTGTCTTGTAAATTTGTTTAAGTTCTTTGTAGATTCTGGATATTAGCCCTTTGTCAGATGAGTAGATTGCAAGAATTTTCTCCCATTCTGTAGGTTGCCTGTTCACTCTGATAGTAGTTTCTTTTGCTGTGCAGAAGCTGTTTAGTTTAATTAGATCCCATTTGTCAATTTTGGCTTTTGTTGCCATTGCTTTTGGTGTTTCAGTCATGGAGTCCTTGCCCATGCCTGTGTCCTGAATGGTATTGCCTAGGTTTTCTTCTAGGGTTTTTACGGTTTTAGGTCTGACATTTAAGTCTTTAATCCATCTTGAATTGATTTTTGTATAAGGTGTAAGGAAAGGATCCAGTTTCAGCTTTCTACATATGGCTAGCCAGTTTTCCCAGCACCATTTATTAAATAGGGAATCCTTTCCCGATTTCTTGTTTTTGTCAGGGTTGTCAAAGATCAGATGGCTGTAGATGTGTGATATTATTTCTGAGGGCTCTGTTCTGTTCCATTGGTCTATATCTCTGTTTTGGTACCAGTACTATGCTGTTTTGGTTACTGTAGCCTTGTAGTATAGGTTGAAGTCAGGTAGTGTGATGCCTCTAGCTTTGTTCTTTTGGCTTAGGATTGACTTGGCAATGCGGGCTCTTTTTTGGTTCCTTATGAACTTTAAAGTGGTTTTTTCCAATTCTGTGAAGAAAGTCATTGGTAGCTTGGCTGTGGGTTTGTCATAAATAGCCCTTATTATTTTAAGATATGTCCCATCAATACCTAATTTATTGAGAGTTGTTAGTATGAAGGGCTGTTGAATTTTGTCGTAGGCCTTTTCTGCATCTATTGAGATAATCATGTGGTTTTTGTCTTTGGTTCTGTTTATATGATGGATTATGTTTATTAATTTGCATATGTTGAACCAGCCTTGCATCCCAGGGATGAAGCCCACTTGATCATGGTGGATAGGCTTTTTGATGTGCTGCTGGATTCGGTTTGCCATTATTTTATTGAGGATTTTTGCATCGTTGTTAATTAGGGATATTGGTCTAAAATTCTCTTTTTTTGTTATGTCTCTGCTAGGCTTTGGTATCAGGATGATGCTGGCCTCATAAAATGAGTTAGGGAGGATTCCCTCTTTTTGTATTACTTTAAGATAAAACAACTAATAGAATAAAAATTTGAATTATATAAGTTAATAGGAGTCTTATTTTTCCCATGAATCCAGTTTAACAAACAAAGACAGAGGAGAAAACTATACCAGTTAATCTACAAAAGAGAAATGGGATACTGAATACCTAAGACATCTGTCAAAATGCTTTTATTTAGATCTAAAGAAAACTTAACTATTTATTATGAGCTTCTCAGCCTCAGAAAACCTAGGAGGTACAAACTAAGCAAAGAGGGAGCCTAGTAATGATGAACTTAGCTTGAGCAACAAAAAGAAAAACCTGACATTTATAGAGAGGGAGAAGACTAAAATGACAAATGTGGAAATAATAATGTAATTTTTAAAAATTTAAAAATTTGAGCAGGCGTGGTGGCTCCTACCTGTAATCCCAGAACTTTAGGAGGCCAAGGCAGGTGGATCACTTGAGCCAGGAGTTCAAGGGATCCTGGGCAACATGGTGAAACCTGTCTCTACAAAAAAATACAAAAATTAGCTGGGCATGGTAGTGCATACCTGTAGTACCAGCTACTAGGGTGGCTAAGGTGGGAGAATCCGTTGAGCCCAGGAGGTTGAGGCTGTAGTGAGCTGTGATCATACCACTGCACTCAGCCTGGGTGACACAGGGAGACCTTGTCTCAAAAACAAACAAACAAAAAAAGAAAATCTGAGGCCAGATACTGTACTAATATAGTCACCAAATGGCATCATTCATAAATCATAGCACATAGTTTATGTAAATTTAATAGTGGTAATCTCAGATTATAAAGTACATGTAAAAAATACTTTTTGTACTCAATTCTGAAAATAACTTTTAGAGAGATTTCAATGCAAACTGTAGTAGAACCCAAAAATAACAGACATGTCTCATAACAGTCCAAATTTGGATATAATCATAGCCTGGTGTATACCACTCAACCCTCTTTTAAATATCTGTTGTAATTCTTTGAGTTTTGCTTCTGTAGATGGTGGTTCTTCTACCAGAAATGTTACAGGCAGGGAAGAAAAAAATCCATATCCAGAATATGTGTCTATAACAGTGAGGATGAATATCTTCTCATTCCTTGATGAAATAAGTCTAATGTAATGTAATTGCCATGAGGCTGCTGGTTTTTACATCCAAGCAGTGGTGACAAATTTAGGGCTCAGTGTTCCCCTCAACTATTGGAAAATTAGACACTCAGCGTTATAATTAGCCAGGCCACTCTTGGTTAAAAGAAAATACAGGTATACAGATATGCCTCATTTTATTGTGCTTTACTTTATTGTGCTTTGCAGATATTGCTTCTTTCTTTTTTCACAAGTTGAAGGTTTGTGGCAACCTGCATCAATCACATACGTAGCTGCTATTTTTCAAACAACATATGCTCACTTCATGTCTCTGTATCACCTTATAGTATTTCTCAAAATATTTCAAACTGTTTTTTTTTTTTTGTTATTCATTAAGGTAATCTTTGATCAGTGATATATATATTTTTGAGACAAGGTCTCCTTCTGTGTCCCAGGCTGGAGTGCAGTGGTGCAATCGCGATCACATTCACAGGTCACTGCATGTGGCCTTGAAGTCCTGGGCTCCAGTAGTCCTCCCACCTCAGCCACCTGAGTAGCTGAGAATACAAGCACACGCTACCATATCTGGCCAATTTTTAATTATTTTGGTGGAGATGGGGTCTCACCACATTGCCTAGACACGTGGTGATCCACTGTGACCTTTGATGTTAACTGTTGTAATTCTTTTGGAGTTCTACAAACCACACCCATATAACCTGGGAAACTTAATAAATGTTCTGTGTGTTCTGTCTGCTCCACCAACCCACTGTTTGCCCATGTCTCTCCTTCTTCTGGGACCTCACTATTTCATGAGACATGAGAATACTGAAATTAAGCCAGTTAATAAATCTACAATGACCTCTATGTGTTAAAGAGAAAGGAAGTGTCCCACATCTGTCACTTTAAGTTAAAAACTAGAAATAATTAAGTTTAGTGAGGGTGAGGAAGGTATGTTGAAAGCCAAAATAGGTTGAAAGCTAGGCCACTTATCTCAAACAATTAGCCAAGATGTAGAATGCAAAAGAAAAGTTCTTGAAGAAAATTAAAAGTGTTATTCCAGTGAGCACACAGATAATAAAAAAAATACAACAGTCTTATTGCTAATAGGAAGAAAGTTTTAGTTGTCTAGATAGAAGATCAAACCAGCCACAACATTTCTGTAAACTAAATCCTAATTCAGAGCAAGGCCCTAATCCTCTCTTCAATTCTGTGAAGCTGACAGAGGTCAGAAGGGTGTAAAAGAAAAGCCTGAAGCTAGAAGAGATTGGTTCATGAGATTTTACGCACCATGACATAAAAGTGCAAGGTGAAGCAGCAAGCAATGATGTAGAAGCTACAGCAAGTTATCCAGAAGATCTAGCTAATATCATTGCTGAAGATGGCTATACTAAACAACAGATTTTCAACATAGATGATACAGCCCTAAATTGGAAAAAGATACCTTCTAGGGCTTTCATAGCTAGAGAGGATAAGTCAATGTTTGGCTTCAGTACTTCAAAGACAAGTTAACTCTGTCTTTGGGAGCTAATGCAACTGGTGATTTTAGTAAGGCCAGTGCTTATTTGCCATTCTGAAAATCCTAGGGTCCTTAAGAATTACGTTAAACCTTTATAAATGGAAGAGCAAAACCTGGATGACAGTACATCTGTTTACAGCATGGTAAAATGAATATTTTAAGGACACTGTTGAGACCTACTGTTCAGAAAAAAAAAATTTTTTAAATATTACTGCCAATTGGCAATGTACCCAGTTGCCCAAGAGCTCTGATGGAGATGTTCATTCAAGGAGATTAATGTTGCTTTCATGCTTGTTAGCACAATGTAAATTTGGTAGCCCATGGAACAAGAAATAATTTCAAATTTCAATTTCAAGTCTTATTATTTAAGAAATACATTTCATAAGACTATAGCTGCCATAGACAGTGATTTCTCTAATGAATCTGGGCAAAATCAACTGAGAACTTTCTGGAAAAGATTCACTGTTCTACATGCCTGTAAGAATATTCATGATCCATGGAAGGAGGTCAAAAAATCAACATCATCAGGAGTTTGGAAGAAGTTGGTTTCAACCTCACAGATGACTTTTACGAGCTCAAAACTTTAGTGGACAAGTGACTGCAGATATGGTAAAAATAGCAAGAGAACTAGAATTAGAAGTGGGACCTGAAGATGGGACTGATAAAATTTCAGTGGAAGAGAAGGTGTTTCTTATGGATGAGCAAAGAAAGTGATTTCTTGAGATGGAATCTACACCTGGTGAAGATGTTGTGAACATTGCTGAAATTATAGCAAAATATCTGAACTATTACAAAACTGAGTTACACATACTTAGTTGACAAAGTTTATTACATAACCTTGGCAGGCCTTCAAGAAGACTGACCTTAGTTTTGAAAGAAGTTTTACCTTCAGCAAAATGCTATCATACAGCATCACATGCTACAGAGCAATATTTTGTGAAAAGAAGTCAGTAGATATAGCAAACTTCATATCCACCTTATTTTAAACAATAACTACAGCCACCGCATCCTTCAGCAACCACCACCCTGATCAGTCAGCAGTCATGCACATTGAAGCAAAACTCCCCACCAACAAAAAGATTATGACTTATTGAAGGCTGTAGAGGTTGCTAGCATGTTTTAGCAATAAAGTATTTTTATTTTTATTGAGACAGGATCTTTCTCTGTTTTGCAGGCTGGAGTGCAGTGGTACAAAAACAGCTCACTGCAGCCTTGACCTCCTGGCCTCAAGAGATCCGCCCACGTCAGCTTCCTGAGTAGCTGGGACCACAGGCATGTGGTCTTGATCTCCTGGGCTCAAGCAATTCCTCTGCCTCAGCCTCCAGAAATGTTTGGATTACAGATGTGAACCACTGCACCTAGTCTTAAGGTATTTTTAACTAAGGTATGTACATTGTGTTTTTAGACAAAACACCTTTGCACACTTAATAGACTACAGTATACTCTAAACATAAGTTTTATGTGTTCTGGGAAACCAAAAAAATTGTGTGTCATGCTTTATTGTGAAATTCACTTTATTGTGGTCCTTCAGAATCAAACTTGCAGTGTCTCTTAGGCACGCCTATACGTTGTTTTGAGCCCATAAATAGCTTATATTTCTGCCAGCATGGCTACTTTGTTCACAGATTTATTTTCCAAGCAATAGGGTGGCTGGGGAAAAGCCTTTTGATACTCACAGAGTGTGTCATTTTTGTCCTTCTGATTATGAACAGCCTACTCTACAGGGAATACTTTTTGTAGACATTCACATGGAAATCAAATTTCTTCAGTCTGTGCCAATTCTGAAAGGTCCATCCATACCTCTTCCACAAATTTCTTGATCACCAGTCCTTAACTTCTGCTATTTTCCAAGTCTCTGACCATCCAGCCAACCAATTAATAACTCCCCATGAATTAGTGCAGATTCGCGCTTCTGAATATCTCTGACACCAAACAAAGTGAGCAATCAAATGTCAATGTACTGCTTGAAGTTTTGTCTGTTTAGAATATTTTATATCACACTTGTTCAGAATTACTTCTGAGTGGGTCTATGACACCTTACCTATACATTTTTGACTAATATGTGCATGTCACATAGAGCTATCTCTAAGCCAGGATTGAGCTTTTTCTTCCTTAGTCAATGGGTATTAGGGAACACGCAAACCATAAAAGCCTCTGGACACATAGATTGAGGAAGAGGAGGAAATGCCAAAGATTTGATATCAAAAGGGTCCAAATTACCTTCTTGTTTATATTAAGTGTACCATCTGGACATGCCTGATCTACTGCTTAGTCATAGATTCTCTTATTTTTGCTGTCCACTAGTTTAATATAATATTTCAGTTTAGCTGAAAGACACTTTAATTATCATTTGAATCTTCTGGATTGTAAGACCCAAATGGTAGAGTGGTTTGAAGTGTGGTCTGAACTTATTTCTGAGTCTCTTGTTGCTCTTGTCCTTACTTGAAACTGATGATTGTTTATGTGACTCTGTGTTGATCTAAGTATCATATTCAAATGTGGTATATGTTGTTTCCAAAATCCAAATGTTTGCATGTTTTTATGGTAGGTGCTATAAAGAGAAGAAGTTTAACATTTACAGTGTAAGGTATATATTCAGAAGCTCTAGATCACTAAACCTTCAGATGGGGGACAATGATGTGAGGTTGCGGAACACTTCACTGAGATGGTGGTATCCTAAATTTTTGTATGATTTATTATGCACTCTCAAATCTGCATGTCTTAGTGAACAATTTACAATACTTGTTACTTCCTGCTCATCAAAAATCAATCGGTGTAATATGGTTAATGTAGAGCACCTGTATGATGTTTTATGGAATGACAAAATCAAGACCACTGTTGACTATATTATGGCATAGAACAAGAGAATTGACACAGTCAAGGGGCAAGACTTTGAAAGTCTGTTCTTGGTCTCACCAGATAAAAACAAATTGCTTTCAATAGTCCTTGAACAATGGTATAGGAGGAAAAGGCATTAACTATGTGAACAGCTACACACTAAATTCTAGGAGCCATCTTGATTTGTTCCAGTAAGGATGCTATATCTGGAAGAGTAGTTGCAATTGAAGTCATTGTCAGATTAAATACTGAATAGCTCACAGTCATTCTGTGAGATCTGAAAGATTAAATTGGTGAGTTAAATGGAGGATAGGGTAGTCATCTGTCCCAGGTGATGTTACCACAGATATTCAAACAAAGGAAACAAATCAGACACAATTGACAAAGAAATCTGTTACCTCTGTGGCACACAATTATTTAATGTAACAATTATAATGATTACTGATAATGTAACTAAGATATATCAGAATTATAGAAGTTGTCCATAATTTTAGAACATATACTAATAATATATTTATACAACTGTAACCCAAAGAAAGCCAAACCCCCCCATTTTATTATTATTTTTTGTCAGGGGCAGGATCTCACTCTGTTGCCCAGTCTGGAGTACAGTGGCATGATCTCAGCTCACTACAACCTCTGCCTCCTGGGTTCAAGTGATTCTCCTGCCTCAGCCTCCTGAGTAGCTGGGGTTACAGGTGCGCACCACTACTGCCCGGCTAATTTTTGTATTTTTAGTAGAGACGGGGTTTCACCATGTTGGCAAGGCTGGTCTTGAACTCCTGACCTCATGGTCTGCCCTCCTCAGTCTCCCAAAGTGCGGGAATTACAGGTGTGAGCCACCATGCCCAGCCAAACCCAGTTTTATATTTGACAGTGTTTCTTGTATGACTTTTGTACCAAATAAGCCAAATTTCATCTTTATATTAGTGTACTATTGATGTTAAACCTAATTCTTAATAAAGCCTTATAGACATATTTATCCAATTTTAATGTTTGACCATAACTTACGATTGTCATAAACCTTTATACCTTTATAATTTTTGTTGAAGAGCAGATTAGTGCTGTAAGAGAAACCTGTTGTGCTTTTATTTCAATGTTTAATTTACAGAAAAACTGAATAATACCCCTTTAACTTTAGCCAATATGTTTACACACAGAATTTTCTTTACAATCAATCTTCCACAACTTGCTTAAACCTTCAGCTTTATTCTTTGTAACTTAAAATAATCCTTATAGCTTTTAACTTAGGCAAAAAAAAATTAAAAAAAAACACATTCCCATGCCTTCTTATAATCTTTTAACCAAAAGTATATTCTACTTTCCTTACACACTTTGCATGTAAAACTGTTTCTTCAGTAGTCTCAAATACATATTACACTGTCAACTCTTGGTAACTTTTACTTTTGGTAAAAACCTTAATAAGTTTGGGATTTAAATTATGTAAAATTAAGGAGTGCAGATAAGGTCTGACTTTTTTCAGCATCTAAGTTCACAGGTCCCAGGTCTTACTTAGCTGTAAATAGGCAAGTTGTACAATTAAGAGTTGGAGTAGCATTTTATGAAGCATTTAGGAGGCCTAATCACTTTTAAGCTGTACAGCATTTCTTGCATAAATTCCCCTTTAGTAATTATTTCACAACTTAAACAATCTGACATGCTTTGACTTTCTGACTTGTCCTAAACATTCCCTCTTTTTAAACAACAAGTTATTTTACTTTAGGACAAGAATTTACCATATAAGATCGTTGCCTATATAAAATCTTTCTGTAAGCTTTTTTTTTAAACCAAAAATACCTCTTTATTTTTATAACTTTATATCCCTCTTATTTCCTCGTTCCTTTTACCTTGTTTTATATATAACCTTTAAATCAGCTTCGAATTAGACAAAAATCAATTACCCTTTAAAAAGGACACAATTTTTAGAAAGGATGTTTTTCTTCAATATATTTTTATTGGAAAATACCTAAATAATAAAATATCTATTGTTTAATATAACTTTAGATTCTAAATTATGACAAGCTTGTTTGTATTTATCCCATTACATTTACCTAATTATTTATTTTAATTATTTATCTAGATAATTTATTAAAAAGGTGATAGTTTTTATTTAAAGTGATGAAACCACCATTGCAAAATTATAACCGAGAGAGTGAAAAAGATCTGAACTTGCTTCTAACCTCCAAGCTATTCTTGTTCATTAATTTAGTTTATAGTGTAGCTTTGAAACAAAGATGGTAACAGTCCTTTCTCAGAACAAACTTTTTTCATGCCTATGGACTGGATTGCCTCAAGCCACATGATTACAATTTATAGTATTTTACTAACGAATTCAAGATGTAGCTATTTTCATTAAACCAATATTAATATTTTATTCATTAAAAGTTACATAAGCAAAGATTATTCTGTTTTGGGCTGAGTTTATAGTTTTGTAGCCTCTATGCCAAATTTTGATACTTTATAGTATTTGGTTGGGATAAGTATGAAATTGCTTAATCAATAAATGCAAACAAAAAAATGTATGCTTATAATTCTTAAGACATTTCTAATATTACTTTACCAATAATTTTAAAGCTAGCTAATTTATTAAATATTTTACTTAAGTCACGTAAACTTGGAAAAGCATTTGACCAGTCTTTTCTTTTTTCTGCTAAAGTATTTGATTTAAGTGCTTTTATTTTCTTTAAGCCAATTAATTAGAGCTCTTTTTATTTTTTCAGTAGTGAGATACTGTGTACACGACACATAATACACAGCTGTATTAGGCATGCCAATAGAAGTACATTTTATAGATTCATAAAACGTCATTTTTTTCTTAGACTTGCAAACTCTTGATAAGCTGGTTTCTTACCCTGGAAATTGTCATCTAAATATGCTTAAATCTGCATATTGAAGGCAACCACTCTTAGGTGAAAAATCAGATAGCAAAATTTACATCTCAAGGTACACAGATAAAAAGTCTGGTGGTGCTAGAGGTAGATTAAAGATGGATGCTAGATCAAACATATTATTACAGAAATCTGTCACAGCATTTTATAAGATACCTGCACTGAATTCTGTTTTGCTTAAAAGGGAGAATTATTATAAGGCTAAACCATGTGATGCTTTTACAGTGTACTTAAAACATTTTTGCCAAACAAGACATTTCTAAGTACGTAAACTGGAATTTTTCTTAAAACCCCCGGGGCAACTTCTGTTTCAACAGCTATTAATGAAGAAAATGGAATTCAGTAAACTGAGAAGAAAAATATTTTTGCTCCAAAACACAAAGTCCTGGGAGAGAAATAAACAAAAACAAGACATGAAGGCCTTTTAAATACAAACACACACATACATGCACACATACACATCTTAAATGTTAGCTTTTAATTAAGCTGACTTTTAACCATTGAGCTCCTAAAACAATCTTTTTTCCTTCCCAGAGGTCTCTCAGCAGAAATGGACCCAATACTTCTCATTTTCAAGTTTACACAGTATCAAAAGGGACAAGACAGATAACACAAACAAGTGGAGACGGATTTCAGACAAACACAAGGGGGAGTGCACTCAGGCAGAACAGACTGAAAAGCAACTCAAAACCTGACCTTAACTGAAATGCAAAGCAGGTGTATGAGCCAGCCCTATTGCTACCCTGGCAGTACCACACGAATGGCTTAATGAGCCCAGAGAGGGAAACAATAGGCTCCCGGCATAGGATTCAGTTAACTCACACTTCAAGTGCACCTGCTTCTGATCTCCTTTCTTCCCAGTAGTGAAAGGGACATGTAATTTTGCACATGGGACAGCCCTTGGGAGGGTCCCTGGGAAAATCTCACCCAGCAGCTACTGGATTCTCCTGAAGATTGTCTAGTGGCAAGCTGCTGGCCACTGAATGCAGCACTATCCTATTCTCTCCTGGCTGGCTCGCCAACTTTTGTTCCCCTACCAAACTGAAGGTCGGGCTGTTTCTCGTGGTCCAGTAACAAGATGCAGATGAACTGGAGAGGAAGAGAGTTTTTATTTCTGTAACCAGTTACAGGGACAAGGCCTGGAAATAATCTCCAGACCAGCTCAAAATTACAACGTTTTCCAGAGCTTATTATACCTTCTAAGCTATATGCCTGCATTTAAGTGTGTCTTCATCTAAAGACATAAGTGATTAACTTCCTTAAATCTATAACTAAGGTCAGCGTCCTGAAGGCCTTCCTCTGGAGCCTCAGTAAATTTACTTAATCTAAATGGGTCTAGGTGCTGGGTTGATTACCCTTATCTTGTCTCCTGATAAATCATGGAGTTTTGAGGAGTTCCTTCAGACCCCCAATAAACTTGTTTGTAGAGGCCTGGGGAGTCTCTTCAAACCCCCAATAAAACTTGTTTAATCCTAAACAGTTCTTGTTAAAAATTCCTTCATTATTTTGTCATGCTTTAAGGTCCAGGAAAGGCCTAGGCAAAACTCTTCGTGGACTTTTGTTACATTCTAGCCTTTGTATAAGGGCATTGGCTCTTAAATAGCTTTTAGAATTTAACCACTCAGCACTCAAACAGTTGTTATGAGATCCGGCCTGCCACAGGATCACTCCTGGTACCGATTTAGGACCTAACTATGGGCCAATCAGGATTCATAAACTGCAGAGCAATTTGAATGAGGAAAGATTATTATAAAAAGTTGTTAACAAAATAGGGGATCATAGTAATGGTATATTAGCAACCAAGGGGAAAGAAGACTCTGAAAAATTGAGGGATATCAGTTATAAAGAGAATCACTACCCTTAGGGATAAAGCAGAGCACAAATTTAAGAAGGAAATCTGAAAGAGTACTCCTCATCTCTAGAACTTCTGAGAACGTACACTGCTATGATCCACTAAGCAGTGGAGCCATTTTGAGTTATCACACTGGTAGACATCTTTAGGAATTCATCCCTTTGGTGGTTCAGGAAGGCCAACCACATAAAAATTCTGTGCTGTGAAAGTAGCTAGGAGTCTGTCCTCTGGAGTGCAAAACAAAGCCATCAGTTGGGAGATGCTGTATCTGGAGTCCAAAAGAAACCAATGGAGTGCTGGGAGGAGTTTTTTGTGGAAAAATTTATATACATACATGAGGCTTACTGGGAATCACCTATCACAAGTAGTACACTTGGAAGATTCTCTCTGGGAATTTGAGGGTTTGAGGAAATGTTGCCCTTGGAAATGTTCCATGCACTAATGGCTGCTACTTGCTGCAGGAGCCTTTCAAGAGGAAATAGTAAGCAGTTTTCAGGCCAGGCACAGTGGCTCATGCCTGTAATTCCAGAACTTTGGGAGGTTGAGGTGGGCAGATCACTTGAGGCCAGGAGCTCGAGATCAGCCTGGCCAACATAGTGAAACCCCATTTGTAGTAAAAGAACAAGAATTAGCCGGGCATCGTGGCATGCACTATAATCCCAGCTATTCAGGAGGCTGAGGCATAAGAGTTGCTCGAGCTGGGGAGACAGAGGTTGCAGTGAGCTGAGATCACGCCACTGCAACCCATTCCAGCCTGGGTGGCAGGCTGAGACACGCACACACACACACACACACACACACACACACACGCGCGCGCGCAAAAGAAGTTTGTATACCTTTAATGCCCTCTACTTAAAAAGCTTAAAATTATGCCACCTGGCAAATAAGAAATTTTTCAGTATCACAAGCAGAACAATGAAAGGCACATTTGAAGCTGAGAGCCTATGGATTGATAATTTACACATTAGGCATTACAAGAAACAGGACCAAATGCGTCAAAATCAAGAGAAAAATGACATAAACTAATGAATGACAATACAAATTTTTCACTGGCAGACTAGAAATTTATAATTACTACAAATAAGAAAATGTTAGAACCGATAAAAAATCAAATAGCTATTCTAAAACTAAAAATATGGTAATTAAATTAATTTCATGAAATTTTTTAAAATATAAAAATACAAAAATTAGGAATTCAGTAGACTGTGTTAATATTTAAAAATCCCCTGAAAGTAGGCCAGTAAATATATCTTAAATGAAACACAAAAAAGGAAAAAAAGAAGAGAAAAATTCAGTAAAGCCTATAAGACATGACATGGTGAGAAGATTAACATGTATTTAATAGAAGTTCCCCAAAGGAGAAAAGAGGGTTATTGGAAAGAAAACAAACACATATTTGAAGACATCCTCTTTCAGCCATAGAGTTATGAAGCTTGCTGAGTCTTGAACAAGATTATTAGGAAGAAAGTACAGAAGGTTATGTCATAATCAGACTTTGAATACAAAAGATAATAAGAAAAGATTTAAAGCAGTCAGAAAAATGGGATACTGTATAAGAGTAAGATAAAGATGAAAATATGAACACTCAAATGAAAAAATGTGAGCTAGAAAGTAATGAAATAACATTTTAAATGATAGAAAATAACTGCCAGTATGTGTCACAATGCCTCATAGAATTATTCTTCAAACCTAAAATTAAATTAAAAAAATTTAAACAACACATTAGGAAGCAAACAAATAAAACTGTGAGAACTTGTTCCCATTAGACTTTCAATAAAAACATTGCTAAAAGAAATGAAAACACAGTAATATGGGATAAATTAACATAATATTGGTTAAACTAATGCATACTGACAAATTAAAAGTATCAATAAAATATTTAGTTTAATATATATGTGAAATTAATATTTCCATTATTTCTGACCATAATTGTTTAGCTGATGTTGGATTCACTTTCCTGCTGTAAAAATTTATAAAATCTAGTCAAAATATATAGCACAGTTCTTTGCAGCCATTGAACCACAATCAATAGTGGCCTATAATCCTTGAATTCACCATAAATTGAACCCAACAATCACCTTAGTCTTCTCTCTGAGGAATTTTTTTCAAGTTGCTTCATGAAGTTGAGCCTATGTAGAGAGCAACCATCTTTCTGGGTAGAGAAAATAATGACTGGAATTAGGGCTACCAGGAAGCTGGGACTTTAGGGACAGGGTGTTAGAAATAGGGTGCCCATGAGGAATCTCCCTATTCTCGAGTTCTTGACCAACTCACAATCAGCACATATACAAAGAAAGTCAGAGAGGCCTAGCAGAGCATAACTTTTAGGATCAGAGAGCACAGACAAGCACAGACTTTTCTAAAAAACAGAAAAACTAGCAAAGCTTGGACTTTTAGTTGAGATCTACAATATTGCAATGCTCTAACAGAAAGGCTGCAACTAAAATTAACCCATCTGCCAGGCATGAATCCAAATTACCCAAGAACTGCTTAACAAAACAAACAAAGGAAACTGCTTAACAAAATTTAAAACTCTTTAGAGAGATTTAACAACATCCAAAGCCATTACAACATAGCATACACAATATACACTTCCATTAAAAAAATTAGGCATATAATAGAGCAGGAAACCTTATAGTAGTAAAAAAAAATAGAAATACACTGAGATATTAACCCAATATTAAATATAGCAAAAGAAACATTAAAAATAGCTATGATTTTTTCATTTTAAAGATGCTGGGGGGAAAGATATATACCATTTATAAAAAGTAAAGTAATTTAGAACCTATAAAAAGTGAAATTCCCCTCCAGCAAAGCGATATATCTAAAATTAAATACTCTTATTGGAGAGATGAATATAGATGTATTTTTTAATACCAGAAATAAGTACAAATCCTAAATAAAGATAAATATATTTTATTAGATTATAATTAAACCTGCTAACAAAATATTAGGTGACTAAAACTCACTGTTAAACCCTGTATGAGAGTACATAAATAAACTATATATTTAAGACAAAATTACCATTCAAAACATAAATAAAGCCTTCTGTTAATCGATAAGAAGAATTATTTTTTAGAAAAATAGACAAATCAGGTGAATAGGAAAGACAAAATGAGAATTTATATTAAATTCACAAGCTGCTCAACTTTGTTAGTAATCTAAGACATGCAAGTCAAAACAATTATAATTTAACAAAAAAATTTGTAAAAAATCAAGAAGTCTGACAATATGTAGTGTTATTGAAAATGAGAGCAAATAAAAAGTATTTTACACTTTGATACAAATATAAATTCATACAATGATTTTATAAGCTCTATCTCAAAAACGAAAGATATTTTGATGAAGTCATAGAGACTGGTTAGTGCTGTTTATATATAACACTCAACAATTCCATCTCATAAATATTCACAAGGAGACATCTAAGGGATTTAATGGAACTGTGTCAAAGGGAAAAAATGAAAATAGCATAGTTATCTAATAGCAGGTGAATGAATAAGAAAATATAATACATTCATCCAAAGAAATATTGTTCATCAGTTAAAATTAATATACAAGATCTACCTGTTTAAAAGGGGTAGATTCTAAATATATTTCTTAACAAAAAAGATGTTACAGGATTTATAAAATATATATATTTTTTCAAAATAAGAAATTAACATACACACTGCTTATGTGTATATGTATATTTATCATATTATCATGTATATAACATATCCAAATATATGTTGACACACACATACATACAGACTCTTACATATAGTTAGAGTAAAAGTAAAAAATCATGGACATAATATGATGCCTTAATTTTAGAATGGTAATATCTCCTCAGAGATGGAGAGTTGGTGAGTCTGGTGATGGGCAGGGCAAGAATGGTTGTGGACTTCAATTTTATCTGTAATATCTTTTATATTTTTTAATAAGGGTGGGGGGTCTATAGTTTTTTGTTATGCCATTCACAGAAATATTCCAGATAGTTGAACTATTTTATGTTTCAAAAAAGAAAATAAAGCTCAAATGATGAAAGGTCACAAAATCAATATATTACAGATATATAAAAATTTAATTTTTTTCCTAACGATCTCACTTTATTTGAAACACAAGTTAGATGGGGCAGCACATGCTGAAGAGAAAGTAATCTTATAATTTTTTTTTTTTTTTTTTGAAGACAGAGTTTCGCTCTTGTTGCCTGGGCTGGAGTGCAATGGCGCAATCTTGGCTGACTGCACCCTCTGCTCCTGGTTTCAAATGATTCTCCTGCCTCAACCTCCCGAGTAGCTGGGATTACAGGCATGCGCCACCGTGCCCAGCTAATTTTGTATTTTTAGTAGAGATGGGGTTTCTCCATGTTGGTCAGGCTAGTCTCGAACTCCTGATCTCAGGTGACGTGCCTGCATCGGCCTCCCAAAGTGCTGGGATTACCGGCATGAGCCACTGCGCCCGGCGGTGATCTTATAATGTTTAAGGCTTTGGAGTATATCCTTTGAGGCTGTTTCCTTTATACTTACATGTATATGATTATAACCCTTATAATTTTGCCTTGGTCTCTCTGCCAGCCCCTTCAATGAAATGTCTCAACTTCTTCCCCCAGGAAATTCTTTTATTCTTTGCATGAGAATACAGTGCAGGCCCTTGGTCTCTGTGCTTTGCAAACTCTGTTTGCACTAAGCCTGGTGAAGAAGAACAGATTTCCCGCAGTCCAGGTTTTCCCAGATACAGTGTTGAGGAGTGAGCTCTAGTTTCTTTAGGGAAGGCAGGGAAATAGGGCAGATGGTACTAGTGGGATCTGAGGCCCATTTCCTTAAGAGTTGCTCACCATAATTCTTAGAAAGAATTTTATTTCTTTCTAAAGAAAATCCTATCTAGTATTATTTAAATGAATCATATTTCTTCTGTTAACAAGAGCTACACTGCATTTCATTTAAAAAACAGTCTTCAGAATTTTGAAATAAGGAATACTTGCTTATATTAAAGGAGCAGTTCCTTAACTGACACTGTTTGATTTATTTGGAATGGGTGGTAATAGACTCAAATGGGCTTTCTTGAATTTGTCCATTCATAAAAACCAGTATGTCTCAGTTTCCCCCACCACCACAATTTAAGAGAACACGTAGAATCTCAGAATGTGATAGACAGAAGTAGAACAGTCTGGATTTAGAATATTTTAATGATTGGTAAATTGTTCTCCAGGACTCAGAGTGCCACTAAGACAGTTTAATAGAATATCATAATTATGTCATAAAGGAATTTTTTTGGTGGGCTGTGTTTGCTTTTCTATCATGTGGAGCAACCACCAGCATAAAAGTTTCTATATAAATTAGCTGAGTAAACAATAAATCTTATGATGTAGATATTCTAGTAGCTTGAATAATGACAAATGCTTTCATAATTACCTTAGGAGAATTGACGATGCTATTTAGCATATACAGTTTTAAGAAGATGAGATTAGATGCTGGTATTTACCTTCATACAGGTAGAGTTAGGTGATAAACCCAAGAATGCAGCAGTACCATACATATAAAACTCCTTTCTGAACAAATTAACTTCCTGTTCCATTTTATAAAATAGTAAACAACTATAATTATTGTATTATAGATTATCTTTTGAATGTAAGTAGATGTGAACTCACCAGTAGTCTACAAAATATTTCTTTGAGGTTTAAGCAAGAAATACGTTATAAAATTGCCTGTGTCTCTCAGGAGAGATAGTCTTCTTTGATTCAGTCTCTGAAATTGTTAATATAAATAGAATATAGCAAAATATGACTCAAAAGGCATTGAAATTGTTTACAAATGACTTGAGATGTAATTTCGATTTTTCTGATTGTTGTCTAAAGATGTGGAAGGAAGAAATTGCCATGCAAAGTTGGAAATAAGAACCTATTTATTTTTTGCTCAGCAATGGAGAGTTGTGCTGAGATATTACACAATATCTCTGAACAAAGAACATTACTTATCTTTTATATGTAGGATTTGGGAAACATTTTATCAGAAATTGGTAGGTTTTCACTAGCAGGAATGTTTAGGCATTGGATGACCTTTAGCCTCGGTTACAGGATTGTGGCTGCCACAGTCAGAACTGTGGGACAGTCAATCATTGGTTATTACAATTCTCAATAGCTGATTGGGAGGGTTTTTAAATCACTTTTGGAGGTTTGCTCTCATTAAGACCAAATATTAATTCATATTTCTGTTGGAGAGTTGAAATGTTTTATTCTCAAACACAACAAAAAATACACATTTGTATAATTAGAAATGCAAACTTTCCATCTCCCGTGTCTAATACACTAATTGAAAATTACAGTAGAGAACAAGAAATTTCAGGTTAGTTGTGGAGAAACGAGGATAGTAAACACAACTTCTGTGTGGGAGCCACATAAATAACCCAGTTTCAATCATCTCTATATAGTCCATCCATGCTATAAATTAATTGTAAGTATTTTACGTTATTTCAAAGAGACCAAATTTAAGTTGCCACATTTTTTACAGAGAATAAAAAAGGTTGCACAGTAATTTTAATGATTTAGCAGTAATAAACAGCCCATCATTGTGTTTTTCTGCTTCCATGAAAATATATTATTCTTTGATATGGTTTGGCCATATCCCCACCAAATCTCAACTTGAATTGTATCTCCCAGCATTCCCACATGTTGTGGGAATTACCCAGGGGGAGGTAATTGAATCATGGGGGCTGGTCTTCCCTGTGCTATTCTCCTGATAGTGAATAAGTCTTACAAGATCTAATAGATTTATCAGGGGTTTTGGCTTTTGCTTCCTTCTCATTTTCTCTTGCCATCGCCATGTAAGAAGTGCCTTTCACCTCCCACCATGTTTCTGAGGCCTCCCCCGTCATGTAGCACTGTACCTTCAATTAAACTTCTTTTTCTTCCTGGTCTCGGCTATGTCTTTATCAGCAGCATGAAAATGGGCTAATACAATAAATTGGTACCAGTAGAGTGTGGCGTTGCTGAAAAGATACCCAAAAATGTGGAAGTGACTTTGGAACTGGGTAACAGGCAGAGGTTGGAACAGTTTGAAGGGCTCAGAAGAAGGCAGGAAAATGTGGGAAAGTTTGGAATTTTCTACAGACTTGTGGAATGGCTTTGCCCAAAATGCTGATAGCCATATGGACAATAAAATCCAGGCTGAGGTGGTCTCAGACGGAGATGAGGAACTTGTTCCCAACTCCAGTTCCCAAACTGGCGCAAAGGTGACTCTTGTTATGTGTTAGCAAAGAGACTGGTGGCATTTTGCCCCTGCCCTAGAGATCTGTAGAACTTTGAACTTGAGATAGATGATTTAGGGTATCTGGCAAAAGAAATTTCTAAGCAGCAAAGCATTCAAGAGGTGACTTGGGTACTTTTAAAGACATTCAGTTTCAAAAGGGAAACAGAGCATAAAAGTTCAGAAAATTTGCAGTCTGGCTATGTGATAGAAAAGAAAAACCCATTTTCTGGGAAGAAATTAAAGCCAGCTGCAGAAATTTGCATAAGTAGCAAGGAGCCTAATGTTAATCTCCAAGACCACGGAGAAAATGTCTCCAGGCCATGTCAGGGACCTCCATGGCCCAGGAGCCCCATTGCAGGCCTGGAGGCCCAGGAGGAAAAAGTGGTTTAGTGGGCTGGGCCCAGGGTCCCCATGCTGTTTGCAGCCTAGGGACTTGGTGCCCTGTGTCCCAGCTGCTCCAGCCATGGCTGAAAGAGGCCAATGTACAGCTCAAGCTGTGGCTTCACAGGGTGGAAGCCCCAAGCCTTGGCAGCTTTCATGTGATGTTGAGGCTGCGGGTGCATAGAAGTCAAGAATTGGGGTTTGTTAACCTCCACGTAGATTTCAGAAAATGTATGGAAATGCCTGGATGCCCAGGCAAAAGTTTGCTTTAGGAGTGGGGGCCTTATGGAGAACCTCTGCTAGGGCTGTGCAGAAGGGAAACGTGGGGCTGGAGCCCCCACAGAGAGTCCCTAGTAGGGTGCTGCCTAGTGGAGCTGTGAGAAGAGGGCTATTATCCTCCAGACTCCAGAATAGTAGATCCACCAAAAGTTTGAATCATGCACCTGGAAAAACTGCAGACACTCAATGTCAGCCCATGAAAGCAGCCAGCGGGGAGGCTGTATCCTGGAAAGCCACAGGGGCAGAGCTGCCCAAGACCATGGGAACTTACCTGTTGTATCAGCAAAACCTGGATTTGAGAGCTGGAGTTAAGGGAGATCATTTTGGAGCTTTAAAGTGTGACTACTCCTCTGGATTTTGGACCTGCATGGTCCCTGTAACCCCTTTGTTTTGGCCATTGTCTCCCGTTTGGAATAGCTGTACCCAATGCCTATACATCCATTGTGTCTAAGAAGTAACTAGCTTGCTTTTGATTTTCCAGGCTGATAGGCAGAAGTGACTTGCCTTGTCTCAGATGAGACTTTGGACTGTGGACTTTGGGGTTAATGCTGAAGTGAGTTAAGACTTTGTGGGACTATTGGGAAGACATGGTTGGTTTTGAAATATGAGGACATGAGATTTGGAGGGGCCAGGGGCGTAATGATATGATTTGGCTGTGTTCTGACCAAATCTCAACTTTAGTTGTATCTCCCAGAATTCTCACATGTTGTGGGAGGGATCCAGGGGGAGGTAATTGAATCATGGGGGGGACTGGTCTTTCCCCTGCCATTATCATGATAGTGAATAAGTCTCAGAAGATCTGATGGGTTGATCAGGGGTTTCTGCTTTTGCTTTCTTCTCATTTTCTCTTGCTACCACCATGTAAGAAGTGCCTTTCACCTGCCACCATGATTCTGAGGCCTCCCCAGCCATGTAGAACTGTAAGTCCAATTAAACCTCTTTTTGGGCCCAGTCTCGGCAATGTCTTTATCAGGAGCATGAAAACGGACTAATACAATCTTCTAATCTCTCTCAAGTCCAATAGTATAAAAGAAGTAAAAAACAAAAAAACAAAAACCCCACATTTAGAAATTTAGGTTTCTCTATGGTGAATAAAAGACGTATTCAAATTCAAAGTTTATGTAATATTTTACCAAGAGGCTAAACATTTGTTTTCCTGTAGAGATCCTTGTTTTAATCTAATGAATATGAATATAGGAAATTAGGTATCTCCTATCCATTAATTTTCAAAATTTAACTGCTGTGCTAAAGAGAGTTGAAGGATGTTATATCCGAAATAGGGAAAGAAACTAAATTGTATTGAACCCCTGCTATTTTCACAGGTTTTGTTCTATGTAATTGGTTTGTTTTCATGTTATTACATTTTAATTTTCACGGTGGCTGTCTTATTTATTTTACCAAAAAATTCACGTGTAAATACATAAATAATCTGTATTGTTAGACATTTTCTAGATGAACACCTGCGACTCAGATTCTATCAATTTCTTTAGTCAAAAAATAAACTGGGGGATCTCGGATTCAAATCCAGTTCTGTCTCCCATCTAATCCTGGGGGAGCTCTATGCAAAAATGAAATTAAATCCATTTCCTCTATCCATCTTCATTGAAAAATCAACCTTTTTCTTGCTCAATTATTCTATACTGTCAATATCAAGAATGTTTAACCATGGAGCTTTTAATATCTGTTATATATCTGCTCTATGATTTTGTGGGAGAAGCACACGGATTTGCCAAGTAGGTTATGTTGAATGTGACTCAATTATACTCTTCAGCAAATATTATTTATGGAGTTTCCCCTTGCCCTGCAAATTGAGTCATATACCACACACACTAAAGTGCTTGCCCTGGAGGAACACAAGTAGGGCAGCTTTAATAGTCTACTTTGTTTTTTAAAGTGTCGGCATTCAGCTTCTTGGGAGGTACATGATAGAACAATGCTTCCCCATTTTCAGTAAACGATGCCACATTTCTTGTTGTTTTCCAATTTTCTGGCTCTCTGTAGTGCTCCATGACTTTCCAGCTACAATTGTGACTGTTCTGGGAAGTTCATTAGTCAATTCCCTCAACACCGAAGGATCCATTTTCTTTGGTCCTGCTGGTTTATGTATGTTCACATTTTTCAAAAAGTATTCCCTGATGAGTTCTCGTCAGTAGTTATTTTTTCATTTCTTTCCAATTCTGTAAACTTCATTTTCTTTGCCAGCCTTGCTTTCATAGATTCTTATACTGTCTCCAGTTTTTATTTTCTTCTTATTTCCTGTGAAACATGGACTTTAAAAAATTAGCTAATTTTCTCATCTCTTCAGAAAAACTGCTCATTTTTATATTTAATATTTTGCCGCTGGAATCTGTGATTTCTAGGATTACTTTGAATTCTATTATTGTAAGTGCCCCCTTGCCATTATCATAGATTCTACCCTATTTAATCCCTATAACTTTATACTTTTTTACTAGTTGAGCACATTGGCATTTACGCTTTGCTCATTAGCACATGCATAATCCAGCTCACAACTTTTTATTTTATTTTATTTTATTATTATTTTTTTTGAGACGGAGTCTCACACCGTCGTCTGGGCTGCAGTGCAATGGCACAATCTCAGCTCATTTCAACTTCCGACTCCTGGGTTCACGTGATTCTCCTGCCTCAGCCTCTCGAGTAGTTGGGATTACAGGTCACACCACCACACTCGGCTAATTTTTTGTATTTTTAGTAGAGATGGGGTTTCACTATGTTGGTCAGACTGGTCTCGAACTCCTGACCCCGTGATCTGCCTGCCTCGGCCTCCCAAAGTGCTGGGATTAGAGGCGTGAGCCACCTCACTCGGCCACAACTTTTACATTTCCGTTAAATGCTAAATTGCTTGATAGAATAGCATCCACAGATAGAAAAAAAGACCTATGTGGTATACAGGGTATGTGTGCACGTGTGTAATTAACATGGAGAGATATAAATTATGAAGACTTTATATTACCTAGCACATGTCCAATAATCAGATGCCTAAGCTTACAGTTCATGAATAATAGCCCTAGATATTAAGTACAGTATATTTTGGCTTTTCTACTAGGACTTTTTCACATACACTCTGCTTTGCAAATGGAGAAGGGATACTGGTAGTGAGAGAACTAACTGAATCAAAGATATGCATGGCTTCTCTGGAGGTGTATTTCTGACTTCATATATTGACAGTTATCCTTGCATTTTAAAAATTATTTTTTGAGAGCCAGCCAAAGCTATTTCTGACTGTGATTCACACAAGAATTGGACATCCCTTTTAGGTTCCAGAGAAGTTTATAGCCGTCTTTATAACATTGAATTTCTTCCCACGATCCTACTTAGCTCTCATTTAATCTGTAGCTTCTTTGTTCTTTCACTTAAAGTGCTATAATATTTGCATTTGAAAATCAAGAACAATATTCTTTCTGGGTTTCTTTTTATGTGCTTTGTCAATCTTAATGGGTCAAAGTCTTTGCTAGGACACTGAATACATGGCAGAATGAGAGCTCACAATGGAATAAGCCACACATATATTTTATAGTATATACTCAAATAGGATATTATGGGAAACAGCTTGTAGACAGAGACTATTATTGGTACCCAATGACTGAGAGTTTACAGTACAGTCCACTGGGTTAGCTGTAATTGGCTGAGTATAAGATTACAATCAAAGTACAGGGAAATTATATACTGGTACTGTACCATCCTTTAGTGGCATGTGTACGTATATATGCGTTTAATCATACCAATTCTCTCTCTCTGTGTATCTCTATCTGTATATACATGTAAAACATTGATAAACATACTTTAACATTATTTTGGAACTACTTTAGAGACAAATAGGTTTATATGCATACACAAAATATGAAGAATTGTTAAATGCAGTATGCATATCTTTGTTCAGAAATTCAACTAACACTTATTGGGTGCCTAACCTGTATCATTTGAGTCACATATATTAACTCTCTTAATTATGGTTACATAGAAAATGTGGTCATATCAGCAGGAAACATAGTAAGACAAAATGGAACAAAAAAGAATACAAGCATTTCCCCTGTGTGAGTTTTCAAATAACAAAAGGCTTTTGGGATATTGATAGTGTTATTAGCAGAAAGGTAAAGGAAGCATTTACCACTACTCAGAAAAAAAAAAAAAAATACACAGTTTAAGAAAAAGAGACTGCATCAGTTCTTAAAGTCCCAAATCACAAATCTGAGTTCTGAAATAAGAGAGAGATAGAATATTGAGAAGAGTATTGACAGATATAATATAAGATAATGTTCAAGAGTTAAAGGACAATTGAAGTCCCCAGACAGTATTGAAAAAGGCCACCTCTAGATGTATCATTTTGAAAACCAAAACATCTAGAACTTAAACCAGCAAGCAAGCAAATGAAAAAGTTACCAAAAATCAAACAAACAAAACAAATGAAATAACTCAACTGAAATACAATCTATAAGAGAAAAAGAATCCGGCCAGTATAAACACATTACCTGCAACATCAGATGCTAGAAGTCAGTAGATTAATCCCCTCACAGTACTATAGAAAACCATTATATAACATTCAATTCTATACCCACTCAAAATTTTCACTCACATAGGAGGGTATAATTAATATATGTTAAGATGTGCAACAACTCTAGATATTCCATACAAATTTTTAAAGAAATCATTTCTGCTTAGGATTCTCCAAGACAGAATTTACTAAGTATCAATCACATTCTCAATTTAAAGTTCATCATAATCATGTATATTGTTATTTTACGTATTTTATTGTTGATTTTTATTACACTTTAACCCTAAGCTCATTTCTCTATACATTGAATATTTAAATACAGTCAGTCTTATGTTTCAATTGTATCCCTTTCTTGGAATGCTTGTGTTACTTTGTACGTGTGTATGTGTGCATAAAACGTGATTAATGATGAATTATCTGTGCCATTATTTAGTGAAGCGACTTTCCCATTTATATAGGTGATATAATGCTGTTTATTTTAGTCTTCTCTTTAATCTTTTGATGCAAAAGATTGGATATTTTTCTATGATGATAAATGGAGACATGGATTTTTAAAATAATTTTATTTTGATTTAATATATGGCATAAAACAGGTATAAAACTAGAAAAAAAATTAATTTTTTGACTAAGGCAATATTGTGAATCTATAAGGGAAAGAATAGCCTTTTCAATAACTAATGCTTTATTAATTGGTTATTTATATGTATACAAATAACCTCCACTTGACACTATAGTAAAAAATAAATTCAATATAGATGGTAGACTAAATGTGAATGGTAAGACAATAAAACTTTTAGAAGAAACAGTGAGTAATACTTTAAGGAGATTTGGGAAGGCAAAGATTATTTAAACAAAATACAAATAACACCAATAATTAAAAATGATAAAATTAGTTAAAATTCAGAAATCCTATTAAAGACACCATTAACCGGGTAAAAAAGGCAAAACATGGACTTGAAAATAATTGTTATGGATAAAATTGGATCTTCCCAAAATTCGTGAATTGAAGTCTTAAACTCTATATGACTGTACTTGGAAACAGGGTCTTTGAAGGGAAAATTAAGATTAAATGTGGTCATCAGGGTTGAGCCCCAATATGATAGAACTGGTATCCATGTAGAAAGTAGGACAGCAAGAGTGTGCTTGCACAGATAAAATACTGTGTGAGCACCTAGTGAGAAGGTGACAACTGTAAGCCAGGAAGAAAGGAACAAGGCGTCCCTGCACCTTGACCTTAGACTTCAAGCCTCCAGCACCATGAGAAAATAAATTTCTGTTGTTTAAGCCACCAAGTCTGTGGTTTTCTGTTACGGCAGTGCAAGCAGAACAATACAATATTTAGACTACAATTATCTAACAAAAGACCTATATTCAGAATGTAGAAGTCCTCTTATAAGTCAAAAAGTAAAAGGTCAGCAACCTCATTTAAAATAAGCAAAAAACAGAGAGTATACAAATAATCAATAGACGCTTAGAATATCTACCTATAAGGAAAATTCAAATTAAAACACAAATGTAACACTTTACATCTACTAGAATGGCTAAAATTAAAAAGTCTGCCAATACCAGGTATAGCTGAAACTGGAACAACTGGAAGTTTCGTACACAGCTGGTGGGATTATTTGCATAAAAGTTTGATAATATCTATTACAGTAAGCTAAAGATATAAGTAATTTATAATCTACCAATCATACTCCCAGGAATATCCCTACATCTACAAAAGAACATGTACAAGAATGTTCCTAACAGCATTATTTATGATAGGGAAACACTACAAAGAACCTAAAATTTCATCAGAGTGAGTGGATACATTCTGCAATTTAAAAACAATGAAATAGGCCAAGTACAGTAGCTCAGGCCCGTAATCCCAGAGCTTTGGGAGATTGAGGTAGGAGGATTGTTTCAGCCCAGGAGCTCAAGCCTGTATGCCACTGCACTCCAGGCTGAGCAACGGAAAAAGACCCTGACTCTAAAAGATAAAATAAACAAACTAATAAATAAATAAAAACAGTGGAATAATACTTACAGATAAAAAGAACAAACTATAGTTATATGTAGCAACATAGATATATGTTATGGCCATAATAATGAGTAAAAGTAGCTAGATGCATAATGATCATAGTACAAGATTTTATTCTTGGAAATTCAAGACAGGCAAAGCTAGTCTAAGGCGATAAGAGGATACTGAGGGATATTATCGAATGAGAAGGGCTATGAGGGGTGTTGCATATGCTTTAAACTTTGACATGGGTGGTGACTACTCATAAGTCTTATATAAATTGTGTAAATAATATGTGCATGTGTGTAAGACTGGTTAATTTTATTATTGACTTCTGTACAGTATTTTATAGTTTGCACACACATGGACGCACACACACATGCACACACACGCACATAATTACACTATTTAAATATCCCTGGGCATCTAGATTGTTGCTTTTGTATTTTTATTTGTATGTGCTATTTTTGTATTTTCTTTTGGATATTTTGACTGAAGTGTCATGTACTCCAAAAATGTATAGAAAGAAAGGACAAAAGTTTAGAAAAAAACCACGATATAGTAAAGAGAAAATAAAGTAAAATCAATACAAAAGGAAATATAATCTTAATATAGTCTTTGTCTGTATAGTAAACCGTATGTTCATATTCACAGTAATGTAAAGCATTTGTTAATTTTCAACATTAAAATTAGCCTATGAATAAAATATAGAAGGCTTAAATTAATTACAGAATAGAATATGCATGTTATGTATCTTAATATGAAGATAAAATTAAAAATCCGGTGTATGGGCAGTAGATGGGCTAGAAAGAGAGGAAGAAGGAAGTGTCTTCAATCTGATAGGGAGCCTTCAAGAGAAATTGTCTATATTTCATGAAACTATAAATAAGATTTTATGTATACTGCACAAAGTTACAAAAGCACTTGTTATAATCATTCAGTGTTGCAAGAAACCAATTGAGGAGAAGTTGGTAATCATGTGACTGAGCCAAATTCCCATTTGCTATAGCAGGAGTGAATTGCATAATATCTAAAATTAATTAGTCAATGATATTAGTAAAATATAATTTAGACATATGGAGGAATTTGCCAGAATAATTTAGAACAGAGAAAATTAAAAGAGTTAAAATTTAATTCCTCTTTGGAGAGGACTGCAAATGTAGTTCTAAAAAAGTTTGTTTTCATTGTGACCTCTTCTGTGTTATTTAATATTTTTAATAATGCACATATTTTTGTTATTAAAAAGCTTTTTATGTAGTTGCTTGCCAACCATTTTTGCACATAAATAGCATAACTGGTAAAACATATTTGGTAGGCAGTTTAATAATAACTTTTCCAGTTAGAACAAAGATACTCTTTGACCCAGTAATTCCTCTAATAGAAATTCATCATACAGATATTTTTTGTATGAGAGTACAAAGATATAAGTGGGAATATTCCCTACAGTGTTGTTGTAAAGGACATAAATATCCTTCAGTAGAAACTGGCTAAGTTTCTTTGGTATAGCCATTCATTGGTGTATTAGTCCATTCTCATGCTGCTATAAGGACATATCTGAGACTGGGTAATTTATAAAGGGAATAAGTTTAATTGACTCACAGCTCTGCAGGAGTTGGGGAGGCCTCAGGAAACTTATAATTATGGTGGAAGGGGAGGCGAACTTGTCCTTCACAAGGGGGCAGGAGAGAGAAGAATGAGAGCTGAGTGAAGGGGAAAAACCCTTATAAAACCATCAGATCTTATCAGAACTTACTATCATCAGAACAGCATGGTGGAAACCACCCCCATGATTCAATTATCTCCACCCGTTCCCTCCCATGACACGTGGGGATTATGGGAACTGCAATTCAAAATGAGATTTGGGTGGGGACACAGGCAAACCATATCAATTTGTCTATTTAGTTTTATTGTAATCTCTGCACTATTTTGGAGTATCTAAAGATATATTGTTTAATATGTTAAGTGAGAAATGATGCAGAACATTATCATGTTATATTATTATACTTTGGTCTAATGTACACAAAATAGGTTTATTTTGAATATATATGTATATGTATATATGTATATAAATATGTATGTATATTTATACACAGCACATACATGCCAAAGCATTTTTTGGAAAAACTGTAAAGTACTTGTTAACTGTATTTCAGGGAATGACACTGTGTCAAGGGTGGCAAGTTAGGGAAATTTTTATTTTGGAGAGATTTATTCCCTTCTATACTACTCTAATTATAATCCTGAAAATGAGTTCTGTTTCTAATTAAACACTACTTTTTAAAAAATTTAAAAATGAGGTGCTCACCTTTGTATCTTTTGACTTATGTAACTGAGTTTCTTTTATGAGGTAGGTGCTTTATATTGGCCAATTATATAAATTCCAGATTATTCGTGCTAGCAGAGAGAAAGACTCACCTCTATCACATGACCCAAATGGAGTCTCTTACATCTAGGCTGAAGAACTGAGCAGTGATTTGATGTCTAAAACATCCTCTCACCCAAGTAGCAGTTAACCAACATTAAGTGTCCTAAGAACTAATTGAAAGGATGGCCAACGTGCTTGTTAGAGATCATGTGTCTGTGAATTTCATTGTAATTATGCTGAATGAGGCTATTACCTCCCTATGTCCACAGTGTCATATTATTGGCCAAGGCTGGTATAGTTCTGCTCAATTTGAATCAAGATTACTGTTTTCTAGGCAGAAGTTTTATTAAGATTAGAAACATAATGCAAAAGGACATACAGGGAGAACAGAGGTGTTCTTTTTTTTCTCCACAACTTTTTTGTGAAGCCAAATACCCATCTGTGGCCATTTCTCTATATTCCTCATGAAATGGGGCCAGTTCATCACTCTGCTCTATGAAAACCCTGGGTTGCAATATAACTCCCGAGCCTATCTCAGAAACAAAAATGACATCCTAGACTGAGCTATAATTGTTAAGATAGTGGCTAAGAGCATAAGCTTTGTTCACCGTTTGATGACCTGGTTTTGAATCTCAGCTCCATCAGTTACCAGCTGAGAAACTTCAAGCAAATTATTTAACTTCTCGGAGCCTTCATTTACTTATTTTGGAATGTTGATGGTAATGCCTAGCCAACAATTATAGTTTTTAGAAAGATGCCTGTAAAGAGCTTTAAAATAGTAGTATATAAAAAATAAAATGTGATATAAAAAGAAAGTACCTTCCCTCAGGTATGAAAATACATACTAGTGTCATCT
This sequence comes from Homo sapiens, assembly GCF_000001405.40. Taxonomy (NCBI): domain Eukaryota; kingdom Metazoa; phylum Chordata; class Mammalia; order Primates; family Hominidae; genus Homo; species Homo sapiens. Next base: position 52,245,938 of record NC_000002.12, on the reverse strand, counting down.
CTTGGTCAAGTGATAATTTCAGCCTTAAAAACAAAATAAAACAATGGGCCTGGCAGGATAATCTTTTTTGGAAGACTCACCATGTATTTTAGATGACGGTTAACTGTTCTATAGTAAACTAAGAGTCTAGAGTCTAGAAAAGATATCGAAGATCTTTAAAGAACTTGTTAGGTGTGGTATACCATGTGCTCTTCCTTGTGCCAGGGAAATACATATACTACCGTGAAGAATCCACAAATGAGAGAATGTTTGTAGACTGTAAAGTGAGACAAAAATAAAAATTTTAATGACCAAATTCTGGGTGCAAGCTTGCCTGCAAATCATCAACTATGTGATCTCATACCTTGGTCCCAAACAGAAGATAAAAACGTTCTATTTTGATTGCTAGATTCCTTGATTATTCAACTTGTTAGTTCAACAGACATTTACTGAGCACTTACTCTATGCTAGATCTTCAATAGTAGAAAAAAAATAAAATAAAAAAATAGGTGATCCTTACCATCATGCAGCTTTTAGTCTACAGGGAAAGAGAAACAATGAACATGTAAGCACACACATAAACCTACAAGGGCTAATTTTAACACACAGTGTGAACTAAAAATATCGGGGCACAATGGCAGACAGAATGATGGCTGTGGTGGGGTACATTGTTATTTATATTAAGATTCTAAAGAGAATTCAACTTTTTATATTTATATCCAGTATGAATTAGGACTGCCTTGAATTTTAAAATCTACTCAAGCCATGTAGTTTTGTAATCATTCATCTTTAAAAAAAGAAATGAGTAATTTCCAAGACAACTTTTCAATTCATAGTTTTTTTTAATCACTAAATTTAAAATTCAGTGCACTGAGAACCCACAGACGTCCTTCACTGTGAACAATCGAAGTTCCATCTGTCACCTTAGTGTCATTGATTTAATTTTAAATTCTAACATGATGACTGTATGCCAAAATCTTCCTTCAGCTGCCTAATAACACTTAAAAACATTTAAAAAATGCTAAAAGTAATTATTATAAACTACTAATTTATTAACGTTTTTCCAAGAAATGTTGTTCCTTGATCCTTTACTGGCAACCAAGCAAGGAAACAACCAAACAATAACAACAAAATATAGGTCCAATGAACTGAAACTGACAAGTCTAACTGCTGATCAGAACCCCTACCACTGTGTAAGATGGCAACTTGCAGCTATTTTATAGAATTCTTCAGCCTCCATTACTTGCTGGTAAATCAAGCTTTAAATTACTGGTTTTCTTTGCCAAGGTCTGTAGTATCACTACCCCACCCATTAAAAAAGACTTGTTTAGGCCAGGTGCGGTGGCTCACGCCTGTAATCCCAGCACTTTGGGAGGCCAAGGCAGGTGGATCACGAGGTCAGGAGATCGAGACCATCCTGGCTAACACGGTGAAACCCCGTCTCTACAAAAAATTCAAAAAATTAGCTGGGCATGGTGGCATGCACCTGTAGTCCCAGCTACTCGGGAGGCTGAGGCAGGAGAATTGCTTGAACGCGGGAGGCAGACGTTGCAATGAGCTGAGATCATGCCACTGCACTCCAGCCCGGGTGACAGAGCGAGACTTGTTTAAGAAGAAAATTATGAAGCCAAATGAAAGGTAATGTGGCTATTTGATTGAAACCTCGATCCTCTCCTACAAACAATCAGCTCTATTTGTGCTGGAAAGCTCAATGTATCATTTTAATACATACTAAATAATTACTGTTCCCACCTCTTACTTTGTTCCTTTGTCATCTCTTGCTAATTTAAATAATTTAATGTTTTCTATTTTCTTGTTTTGGCGTTAAATACTTTCTCCATAAAAAACCAGAGGTAATATTAGGCAGAATTTGTTTCTCTCTCTTAAATACCCATCACCCCTACCTGAATAATGGTCACAGGCATGGTTGTTTCATTGTCTGTTTCTTTGTGGTTGTCTGCGATCTATATGTGGACATACTTTCACTGTACCTTTTCCTGATGGTTTCTGTCCAAGTCTGTCATTTTCATTCAGTTCAGAGTTGAAGCTTTGTAGGAGTAAATAATTTTGTTACCAGAAGAATCTTGAAGGCTTTCGAAACTTTTTCTAAAGTAGTCAAATCTATTTTAGTATTCAATTGCTCTATCCTCCAAGGTTAAAGCCCCATTTTCCACAGGTACAGCTTCGAATGCTACGGAACCGCACACTGAGCCTGAGAAGTAGCAATTGACTGATGATGGTATTGCTTTTAGCCTTGGTTGGTTTTCTATATGGAACTTTACTACGCTCATCAAGTGTATGAAAGGAAACCAAAATAAACAGCAGAGGAACAATAGTGTTTTTAATAAACTATGCAGCAAATGACACCTTCCATTGCTACTATACTAATATTATACAAATGAATTAAACTTCCTAGAACCTCAAATTAGTGATATGCAGAGGATGAACAGGTATTTTCAATTTTTAGCCTAAGCAACCTAAGAAGTGCCCTTTTTTTTTTTTTTTTTTTTTTTTTTTTTGAGACGGAGTCTTGCTGCGTTGCCCAGGCTGGAGTGCAGTGGCGCCATCTTGGCTCACTGCAAGCTCCGCCTCCCGGGTTCACGCCATTCTCCTGCCTCAGCCTCCCGACTAGCTTCGGACTACAGGCGCCCGCCACCGCCCCCGGCTAATTTTTTGTGTTTTCAGTAGAGACGGGGTTTCACCGTGTTAGCCAGTATGGTCTCGATCTGCTGACCTCGTGATCTGCCTGCCTCGGCCTCCCAAAGTGAAGAAGTGCCTTTTTAAATTATTGTTAATATATATATTATGCTTCATCATCCAACTGTACCCCAAAAAACTAGTGACTAAGATAATAGAGAGGGCATCTGTTTACATTATTTTATGATGATAGTTAATGTCTATAGTTCTTCCATTATGAAACATTTACTTAGGTAAGTATAAAAAATAAATTATAGAACTTCTTTCTGTTTTTGTAAATTATAAAACTTCTTTCTGTTTTGTGTCCTGTTTATTTACTTTGGTGGTTTATGTATTCTGTAAAATTATATATGTATGTACAATAGAATTTCTATTTGTCATTTTATTTTAATTTTATATTTTGAATAATTCATGTAAAAAATGAAAGCAGTATAAAAAGGTATACAACCAGAACTCTTGGTTCTAATCTTTGTCTTGTTCAATTGTACCCATTCCCTATATAAACCTATTTAGTTCGTTTCTTATATGTTCTCTCATTGTTTCTTTATGCAAATTATAAGAAATACAAATATGTATTTTCTCCCACCTGTATTACATACTCTCCTGAAATGTTTTTATTTAGTTTAAGAATACATTCTAGAGATCATTTACTATTAGGACAGAGATAATTTGTTTTCTAAAGTGCTGCATTATATTTTGGTGTGTAGTTGTACCCTAAATTTTAGTTTGATTTTAAACTCTAGATTATGTAAATATGCTGCAGAGACAAAAATGCTGCAGTGGCTACCGTTATATTCTTATTTTGCATGTGTTCATGAATATCTATAGAATAGTTAACCAAGAGTGGAATTGCAGAATCAATAAATGATGTATTTGTAATTTCGAGAGGTGTTACTAAGTTTTCCTTTACAGAAGCTGTTCATCTTCATACTCTTGCCAAAAATTTATGAAAATTTATTTTCCCCATTGTCCTGTGAAAAGGCTCTGAGGTCAATCTTTTAGATTTTTGTATTTCTCTTAATTTAAGTGCATTAAAACCTCTTTTTATCTGCTTAAGAACTATTGGTCTTTTTCTTATTGATTTCTTGGAAATCTATCTATATAGGAATATTAATATTTTTTCTATGACACAAAGCATTTTGAAAGATTTTTATTCTTATTTTGACTTTGCAATGATAGTCTTTGCCTTAAGTTTTAATGTAATTATGGTTGCTTTCATCTTTTTATAATTTGATGATTTTTAGGTTCTTAGTCATAATTAGAAAGTTCTTCCTTATTACAGTTGATAAATTTATTTACCTATATTTTCTTTGAGCAGTTGTGAAGTTTTTTTTTACACATATATTTTGTTAATTTGGAGATTATATGTCATGAGATATGGATCTAAATTCTCTAACCCAGTTGACTCAAAATCATTTATTCACAAGTCCGTCTTAACTCTACTAATTTGAGGTAATTGCCTTTATTACCTAGAAAATATCCATATGCATTTGGGTTATTCCCAGCCTTTCTCTTCTTTTCCTTTGGTCTCTATATGTATTAATGCATTTGTAATTATAACTTTTAATTATTATAACTTATTTTTCAGAGTTCTCTTGAATGTTCTTTCTCATTTATTTTTTTCATGAGTACAGTAGAATTTGCATAACAATTTTAGAAGCCAGATTGTGTTTAAATATAACTATTAAAACGTTGCTACTTACATTGTGGATTTTTAAAATTCTTTTTGGGTCAGGCTATTTTGATGGATGCTCATCAACATCTCTAAATTTTGTGCCTAAGACGTTAATAACTTATATGTGTATGTTCTTTTTACTTTTGAAAATATTTTCGTCTTGGTCCTTCTGATCATGTGATTTGGCAGCTAAAAATGTTCAACCATTCTCCATAGTCTAAATTTAGAGTCCAAATTACCTAACTGTCATACAAAGTCAGGTTCTACTACCTCTTGGCATACCCTGCCCCTCTTCTCTATCCATAGGGATTTATTTGCTATTCTAAAACAGTATGCTATCTCTTACAGCAGTATGTTGCCTAGAAACACCTCATCCCATTACTCTTCAAGAGGCTGTGTAGCCCTTTTTGTAGATTATACATGGAAGTATATATGCCAGTATGTGAACACCAACCCTAGGCTATTTCTATACACTTACATGGTGGGGGTTTTAAGGCCATTTTCAACATGTGTGGTTATAATTCATTCAATAAAACAGATTATAATCTATAATATGAGACCATAAGGCTAATAAAGCCTAAGTATATATGACCTAAGATTCACTCTCCTTCTGAAAAGCGTAAATTCCGCTGAGCAGGTCAACGTCCCTCTAGCAATAAATTCAGAAAGGCTAGGATTGTTTGTGTAATCTTATTAGGAAAAAGGCCTTTCTAAGTATGACACTGAAGTCATAAAGCAAAAAGAAAATGTCTAATAGATTTGTCTACATGAAATAAAACTTCTTTATGTCAAAATAGTACTTTTGGTTTGTAATCTAGAGGAAAAATACTTATAAGGGCTGACAAAAGGTCAACATACTTATATCAATTACTCATTTGAATATGAAAATTATTTTAAAAATCCATATTGATAACATAATGGGCATAGAATATTCTCAGATAACTTATAAATGACAATGACTAAATTATACAATTAATCAAGGGAGTAGAAAAAAGAAAAAATCATGTACATTGTAGTAGGGTTAAAAATGTGAACATAATAGAAAATACAGTTTCTTTCTTTTTCATAACTGACTCATTTTTTTCACAATCCTCCAATTCTTTGAGTGGTGGGATGATGTTAACTTTTTAGTTAATGGTGTCGTCATATTTCCTGACATAAAACATCTTAGGCCTTAGCAAAAGTGTGACTGCCCCCTCTTGTAGAATTCTTCCTCTGTAGCCCTTTCTCATACTAACTTCTATTCACCTCAGATGTTGGCTTGATCATCAGTTCTTCAGGAAAACGTTCTTATCCCTTAACTAGGTAAGGTCTCTCTGCTAAATGATCTTATATTGTCCTACACTGTTTTCATAGAACATAATAGAGTATAATTATTTGATTAATCACCTATCTCTTAAATTAGACTGTTTCCATCTACACGCTACAACTAGGTCTATTTTCCTTACCCGTTGCCCCAGTACCCAGGATAGTGCCTGGCATGAAGTTGACATCTAAACTTTCTTTTTTAAGTGAACAAATAAACAAGAGCCCTTGAGTAATAGGAGTATAAGATGGTATAAAATTGTTGAAAGTAAAGTGAGTATATCCTTTGAGTTGCTACTCATTCATGGCAATTTATTCTGTGCTGTGCAAGGATAAATGTTATATTCAATAAACTTTAAAATAGTGGAAACTCAGAAATAAACTAAATATCCAATAACAGAGAATTACCAAAATGAATTATTGCATTTTAATGGCATACTTTGAAGCCTTCTAAAATGCTATAAAATTATGGTTTTAGATGTGAAAAAATACTCACTATAAATTCTTAAATGGGAAAACTAGGTTTTGTACATGATACTTCCATCTTCATAAAAGAAATGTACACACACAAATACATACAAATATTTTCAAAGACATTATGTGTGAGTTATTTGGTTGATTTCTTCCTTTTGTGAATTTTTATGTTTATTTGCTGTTTTGATCACCTATTCCTTTTTAAACAATATCTTAATTTTAAAAAAGGAAAAATTGTACATAATACTAGCTCAGATCATAAGAAAATAGTTTTTTTTTTTAAATTTTACTGCCCTTTAAAACTTGGTATATGATTATTGTATGATAAAAATAGCCAGGCAAAATTTGGGACCATAGGAGAAAAAAATGCCATTGTGTTTCAGATTCAGTGTGCTTGGTATATCTACCTAAAATCTTAGAAATGTATCTGGTTTATTTTACCTGAGGCAATAAATAAACTCGTAGAAAATAACCTAATAGATTTACAAGGTGGATTCATTTTCAAAAGCTTTCTCTAATACAAAGGTTACATTACATGATGCTTCAATACTAGATAAACCAGGCTTTTGTGTCAAAGCTAGATTATAGGATTTGGAGTTTAACTGTCTTTTCCCAGCAAGGTAGTGGCCATCTGAGTCAGCTGGCAAAAACTGGGAGGATAAGTGATCAAGAAATTGTTGATTCTCATTAAAACAACACCTTACTTCTGACAGGGTATTGTTGAGAACCAAGGTGAGGCTAGCCCTTCCTGAGTCTGTCACTCTTCCTGCTCAGGTGCTCTTCTTACTGCTCAGTACAATAGATGACTGCTGCTGTGATGTGCTTGCCAGGAGCTGTGGCCTTGAGGTGCAGCAGAGGAGTATGGTTGATTGCCTGCAGGTGTCTGACTGCAGGATGTTTTCACCATGCATTGAAAATCAAGGCACGTATCTCAGTTGGGCAAACCAGCTGTAAGGCACCTTGTCACCTCAGTCTATGTTTAGATCTATGATGGTAGGAAATAAAAACAAAATAAAAATTTGCTTTTTTAAAATATGGGTAAGTCAAGAAAATGGGGTGGGAGGAAGTGAAGCAAATACGTGTTTTGAGAAATGTTGGTGGGAATTCAGACATTGTGGGCTGGAAGTTACCTCTTGCAGTACTGTCTACAAAATGCTGGGTTAATCACAAAAGTGGCCGGGATCTCATTCTTTTTAAGTGAATAATGACAATCTCTAATGTCCCTTTCATTTTATGAGTCTTATGACATCTGGTTTAATTTGTAGAGATATTAATCAATCTTTAATGTAATGAAGGCATGCCTAGAAAGTGTTATCTTCTCTTAATAGCTCCAATCTTAAAGGAAAAGAAAATCTCTCAAACTTTAATTTCAACATCATTTTATTGGTAATAATTAAAATTAGGAAGCATGATTTGTTCATTTGATTAAGTTTTATTTTATGGAAAATTTGTTTTCAAATTCTTAACTCTGAAAAGAAAAAGTACAATTGATTGTGATGCTGGAGGTTGAATGAGAAGAATTGAAAGTTCAAGATCTGAAGTCACCTTTTTAATTTTAGGTAAAGGCTGAACATCCCTAATCTGAAAATTTGAAATCTGAAATTCTCCAAAATCCCCAGTTTTTTGAATGCCAACATAATTCCACAAGTGGAAAATTTCACACCTGTGAATTTTGTCATCGGGCACAGTCAAAACAGGGTCAAAATTTTGTTTCATGCACAAAATCATTTAAAATATTGTATAAGATTACCTTCAGGTTATGTGTATAAAGTGTATATGAACAACATAAATGAATTTTTTTCTTTAGATTTAGATCCTATTCTCAATATTTCTCATTACGTATACGGAAATGTTCGAAAAAAAAAAATTGAAACAGCACTGGCCCCAAGCATTTTAGAAGAGGGATACTCAAACTGTATATGATCCCATCAGCATGTAAATCACCACAGTGAAATCTATCACTGAAATAACTGAAGTAAAATCAATTAATGCTAATAACCATTATACCATACGTAGAGGTGGGAGTGTGGAACAAAGAACACAACAATATAGACTGCCATATACTCTGTGAGATCATGGAAAACAAGTGGCCTCAACAACAAGGGGAAAGGCATGAGTACCAATAAGAGTATACTTGGTTCAGATGCCATCATGACTACAGCCAGAATTCTTCTGTCTCATTCATTTCTGACCCATTTGTCCTCCAAAAGTCTTATAGCAAGGTGTGATAACCTCTGCTTGGAGAAGCTGTCAAGTGAAAAATAAAACCATGTCCCTGCCTAAGTTTAGGATTCCATCAAATTCCTGGCCTTGAAGCAGAATGATATGACAGAAAGGATGCAAACATTTGAATTAAAAATTCCTAAATTTAAATAACAGTTCTGGTGTTTGTCAGACAACTAATTTTAGGCAACTTTCTCCAATGAGCGTCTATGAATTGGGGTAATTCCCATTACAAAGGATTACTGAGTAAACACAGAATATATTATTGTAGGCAAAATATCTGGTATTTAGTATTTCATTATTAATTTTAGTTTTTTCTTTATCAATTCCATAATGTTGACAAATACTTATGTAAATAGATAATAAATGACAGGGAGATAGAGAGATAAAGATATATAGATAGATAGTCACACAGATACATAGCCAGATAGATAGATAGATATAAATAAATAGGTGATAGATGATAGATAGATAGATAGATAGATAGATAGATAGACAGATAGATAGATAATCTTGCTCTGAAGACTCAGCAGAAGTCAAAGGAAGAAGTTCTTGGGTCTATTTTTATTTTGTTAATGTTTTTCTGGTTTCAGCTATACAACCATACACCTAATAAGATACAATTACATAGACCACATTTTTTTTTCCTCCATGGGTCCCCAGGTAGTTTTCATTGAAATAAAAGTTGGGCTACAAATGATTATTGATGAATTAGATAATAAATGCAGGCTTTGGGAATAATTAGGGGAGTTGAAATGTTATTTAAATTTAACCTGAAACTTACAAAGCCATCACAGAATAATATTAAAAGTCTCAGAAGCAGATAATAACCACATGGCTCTCTGACTGAGGGTGATTTCCATAGAACTGGGAGCTGAAAAGCCAGATAATCAGTTGCTTTTCAGCAATGTCCGGTACTGACAGTCCTCATTCCCTTTTACATTAGTGATGTTAAACCATTTACAGGAAAGGCACGCATCCATCATTCCTGAGGGATCAGAGCCATTACACAAGATAATGTTGAAAATGACCATTACAATGCAATGTTAAAGAGGGCAGAAGCTGAACACTTTACCTGGAGAATATGAAAAGCCAAGATTTGCCAGCTAGTATGTGTTCACTTTCAAAAACTTTCCAGGCTTTCATTACTTGAGGCTATTTTAGATGTTTGATATGTGAACAGAAGTACAAGGAAGCAGAAACTTCTACTTCATGCAGAGAAGCTAGTGGTCTCAAGGATGAGTGCCCTTACTTAGAAATAGTGAGGCGAACTGCTTCCTTTGTGACACTAAGTTAGCCTCCCTGCCATTTCAGTTTAACATCTCACTAGGCCTGACTGCCTTGAAGCTAAAGCACTGGAAAGAAGCATAACTTATTTATAGTGTGAAGATGTGAATGTATATGAGTAAGCCATTTTGGACACTCCAGATAACTCAAACTTTTCTCCTGACAAGGGATTTCTGCTTTACTTTATCATTTCTCCTCTGCCTAACATTCCTGCCCAGTAAAATTGATTTTGGTTTAGATCTCACAAACCGGGGAAGATCTCTAAGAGTGGGAATCGTGAATCATTATAGTATTCTAACAAATGGACTTGTAAAACCTTGAGGGCAGACCCAGAAAGCTTTTGGTTCATGGACTATGGCAGCAGAAAGGATGCTTCTGTTTCTTACATTGACTCTGTTTTACTGGTGTGAATTAATGATATGTTTGGGGTGATAATCTAATTTTTTTTATTATACTTTAAGTTCTAGGGTACATGTACACAACGTGCAGGTTTGTTACATATGTATACATGTGCCGTGTTGGTTTGCTGCACCCATTAACTCGTCATTTACATTAGGTATTTCTCCTAATGCTATCCCTCCCCCATCCCCCTACCCCATGACAGGCCCCAGTGTGTGATGTTCCCCACCCTGTGTCCAAGTGTTCTCATTGTTCAGTTCCCACCTATGAGAACATACAGTGTTTGGTTTTCTGTCCTCACAATAGTTTGCTCAGAATGGTTTCCAGCTTCATCGATGTCCCTACAAAGGACATGAACTCATCCTTTTTTATGGCTGCATAGTATTCCATGGTGTATATGTGCCAACATTTTCTTAATCCAGTCTACCATTGATGGACATTTGGGTTGGTTCCAAGTCTTTGCTATTGTGAATAGTGCCGCAATAAACATACGTGTGCATGTGTCTTTATAGCAGCATGATTTATAATCCTTTGGGTATATACTCAGTAATGGGATGGCTGGGTCAAATGGTATTTCTAGTTCTAGATCCTTGAGGAATCGTCACACTGTCTTCCACAATGGTTGAACTAGTTTACAGTCCCACCAACAGTGTAAAAGCGTTCCTATTTCTCCACATTCTCTCCAGCACCTGTTTCCAGACTTTTTAATGATCACCATTCTAACTGGTGTGAGATGGTATCTCATTGTGGTTTTGATTTGCACATTTAATTAAACTAAAAAGCTTCTACATAGCAAAAGAAACTACCATCAGAGTGAACAGGCAACCTACAGAATGGGAGACAATTTTTGTAACATACCCATGTGACAAAGGGTTAATATCCAGAATCTACAAAGAACTTAAACAAATTTACAAGAAAAAATCAAACAACCCAATCAGAAAGTGGGCAAAGGACATGAACAGACACTTTTCAAAAGAAGACATGTATGCAGCCAACAGACACATGAAAAAATGCTCATCATCGCTGGTCATCAGAGAAATCTAAATTTTATATCAGTGTAAATGTTATTTATTTTATGTCACAGTAGACAGTGTGGTCTGTTGCTTGCCTTGGTGTTAGCAAACCTGTGTTGCCAACTAAAAATAATTACTCTCTGGCTTTTTGTTTGTTCATTATGAATTAAGGATAATAATTTCTGAATCATATGTTTAAGTGAGGATCAGACGAGACCTAGACAAGACCTACTTTTAGAAATATGATTCAAATAAAACCCTAGAAATCTGCATGTGCCTGATAAACCAACCTATTCCTAGCCTCTCAGTCATCTTGCTAAGAATGAAAACAGGGCTTTGGAAATCTGTGTCATCCTAGTAAGACCCTACTCTCTCTGACCACTTCCCAATACTCATAAGTCTTCCATCATTATCTGTATCAAGACTATCCAAATTAATTTCTTTATGTCTTTTTTTCTCCCATTTCTATCAATCATTATAAAAACTTGAGCATCTAAGATTTATCTTTAGTCCTACATTCTAGTCCCTATAAAGCTCAGTGGGACCACATCCATCCCCTTTTCTATTATTTCTGCATCCCTTATTAAAATTCCTGCTTTATTTTTCTCTAAAACAAATATTGCCAAGTAATTTTTTTTTTTTTTTTTTTGTGACAGAGTCTTGCTTTGTCTTCCAGGCTGGAGTGCAGTGGTGCGATCTCAGCTCACTGAAACCTCCACCTCCCAGGTTCAAGTGATTCTCCTGCCTCAGCCTCCTGAGTAGCTGGGACTACAGGTGTGAGCCACCACTCTCAGATAATTTTTGTATTTTGAGTAGAGATGGGGTTTCACCACATTGGCCAGGTTGGTCTCGACCTCTTGACCTCAGGTGATCCATCTGCCTTGGCCTCCCAAAGTGCTGGGAATAAAGGCGTGAGCCCCCGTGCCCAGCCATAATTTGATTTTTATTTGTTTTTTGTTTTCCCCACTAAAATGTTATCTACACAAGAAGAGGAAGTTTTGGCTCTCTTGTTCACCACAGCTTCCCAACCATATAGAACATAGCCTGGCATAAAGTAGATAATTAATATATATTTTAAAAATATGTGCATAAATCAGATTAATAAAACTATAAATATTACTAATACATATTTAGATAATATTTATGAGCACTCAACATAATTATAAAAATATATTATAATATATAATATGTAAAATATCCGAAGATAAACTAATATTTATTTTTTCTTTTTTTTAGCTTTTATTTTACGTTTGGGAGTACATGTAAAGGTTTTTTACTTAAGTAAACTTGTGTCAAGGGGGTTCGTTGTACACATTATTTCGTCAACGAGTATTAAGCCTGGTACCCAATAGTTATCTTTTCTGCTTCTCTTCCTCCTCCCACCCTCAGCCCTCAAGTAGACCACAGTGCCTGTTGTTTCCGTTTTTGTGTTCATGAGTTCTCATCATTTAGCTCCTAGTATAAGTGAGAACACTTGGTATTTGTTTTTCTGTTTCTGCATTAGTTTTCTAAGGAAAATAGCTTCCAGCTCCATTCATGTTCCCACAAAAGACATAATCTTGTTATTTGTTATGGCTGTATAGTATTCCATGGTGTATATATACCACATTTTCTTTATCCAATCTGTCACTGATGGGCATTTAAGTTGATTCCATGTCTTTGCTATTGTAAACAGTGCTGCAGTGAACATCCGTGTTCATGTGTCTTTATGGTAGAATGATTTATATTCCTCTGGGTATATACCCAGTAATGGGATTGTTAGGTTAAATGGTAGCCCTGCTTTTAGCTCTCTGAGGAATTATCACAGTGTCTTCCACAGTAGTTGAACTAATTTAGTCTCCCACCAACAGTGTATAAGTGTTCCCTTTACTCAGCAACCTTACCAGCATCTGTTATTTTTTGACTTTTTAATAATGGCCATTCTGACTGGTGTGAGATAGTATCTCATTGTGGTTTTGATTTGCATTTCTCTAGTGATCAGTGATGTTGAGTTTTTTTCATATGCTTGTTGGCCACATGAATGTATTCTTTTGAAAACTGTCTCTTCATGTTCTTTGCCCACTTTTTAATGAGGCTGTTTTCCTCTTGTAAATTTATTTAAGTTCTTTATAGATGCTGGACATTAGACCTTTGTCAGATAATATTACACAGTTTGTAAATATTTTCTCCTATTCTGTAGATTTTCTGTTTGTTGATAGTTTCTTCTGCTGTGCAGAAGCTCTTAAGCTTAATTAGATCCGACTTGTCAATTTTTGCTTTTTTTGTGGTTGCTTTTGGTGTTTTTGTCATGAAATCTTTGCCTTTTCCTATGTCCAGGATGGTATTGCCTAGGTTGTCTTTCATGGTTTTTATAGTTTCAGGGGTTTTTTTTGTTTGTTTGCTTGTTTTTTGAGACGGAGTGTCACTCTGTCGCCCAGGCTGGAGTGCAGTGGCAGTGATCTCCTCTCACTGCAAGCTCCGCCTCCTGGGTTCACGCGATTCTCCTGCCTCAGCCTCCCGAGTACCTGGGACTACTGGCGCACGCAGCCACGCTCAGCTAATTTTTGTATTTTTAGTAGAGACAGGGTTTCACCGTGTAAGCCAGGATGGTCTCCATCTCCTGACCTTGTGATCCACCTGCCTCGGCCTCCCAAAGAGCTGGGATTACAGGCGTGAGCCACAGCACCCAGCCTTATAGTTTCAGGTTTTACATTTAAGTCTTTAATTCATCTTGAGTTAATTTTTGTACATGGTGTAAAGAAAGGGTCCAAATTCATTCTTCTGTATATGGCTAGCCAATTATTCCAGCAGCATTTATTGAATAGGGAGTCTTTTCCCCAATCCTTGTTTTTGTCAGCTTTGTCAAAGATCAGATGGTTGTAGGTGTTTGACCTTATTTCTGGACTCTCTATTCTGTTTCATTGGTCTATATGCCTGTTTTTGTACCAGTACCGTGCTGTTTTGGTTACTGGAGCCTTGTAGTGTAGTTTGAAGTCAGAAAATGTGATGCCTCCAGCTTTGTCCTTTTTGCTTAGGATTTACTTGGCTATTCAGACACTTTTTGGTTCCTTATGAATTTTTAAATAGTTTTAAAAATAGTTTTTAAACTAATATTTATTTTTCAGTGAAGAATTGATCTATGCTATGGAATAATAATAATTTCTGAATGTTGGGAAGCTTGTTTTCCAGGTCCTATGAAGTATAAAATAAGTTCCTATATCCAATTATTTCAAATAACTCCTTAATAAATGAAGCTTGCACATACATAACTAAAATACAAAGTACAAAATGGGATCAAAAGTGCTACATATAAAATTGCTCGACTCATTAGAGGAGACTATGAAGATAAATATGATTTGGTGGTCAAAAACACTCTAGAAATAGGCAGCAAACATTTTCTTTCTTAGTGTGTTATGAATGAATAATATTTTAATTTTACATTCTAAGTCTTATTGTCTTAGGTTGTATCGAACTAATAGAATCCAGAAAATTATGCTCCTTGATGGCTTAGTGCCTCTCAAACTTTAAGCTGTGTTTAGTCAACTGAAGATCCTGTTAAAATGCAGATTTTACTACAGTATATCTGATGTGGGATCTGAAACTCTGGATTTCTAATGAATTCTCAGGTGATGTTGGTAAAGCCGCCAGACCATGAATTAAGCTTTGAGCAGAAAAGACAGAGACAACATTAAGCAATGATCATTACAGCAAATGGACTTTAAAAAACAGGCCATTGAAAAAGTTGATCACACTTCATTTTATAGTTTAAAAATTGACCCCTAAGAACATGCTTGAGTGAATTTTCCCTAGCATTGCAGTCAAGCAGCAGTTTCACTGTGCTGCTCAGAACTCTCTGTGACATAGGATGAGAACAAAGTAAGATTACAAATTTTGCCTGCCATAGTGCTTCCTTATATATTCATTATCTTGAAATAATACTTACTAGATACCCACAGGGTTCCCCTGCAGCACCAGGTATTATACAGAAGAGAATTTAACGGAACCACTTATCTCCCCTCCAAGCTCTGGCCAACTAGTTCCCACCCAAGATATGCAGTTGTAAAGCCTAATAATATTTTACGACCCTGAGGTCATTTTCAACAACCTTGAGAGTTTATTAAAGATTCAGAAAGATTTTCAAAGACGAGTTCTTTGTGAAACCTCATTTTCAACCTGTTCTTTTACCAAATCCCAGCTAGTGAAGTCATTAAAGATTAAAGCATTCAAAATTTGAAAGAGAAGGTAAAATTGCTCTTCTCAATGTTAGAATAAACAAATGCAAATGTGAATAAAGAATGGTATTTTGTATGTCATTTATAATAGATATTATGCACCCTGATCAGAAGCAGTCAGTGTAGCTATAGCTTAGGAAATTAACTGTCCTTTCCACAAATCTACATTTTTGACAGGAGTCTCAAGTATGTATTTGGTCATGCTATAATATAAAATATGGTATAAAATTGAAAACAAATAAAATTTGACTTCTTATGGGGACAACTTACTCCACCAGGAGTCTCAGAAAGAAACCTCAGAAATTTTCTTATACATGTATCTCTAGACAAGGTTATGGATAAGCTAGAAAAGTAATACCTAGTAAGTTTTCATGAGAAAAATCACTCTAGGGTGATGGCATAATGTCTGCTAAACATTGCAGGTCCAAAAGAGTGGGAATAGTAAAGAATATGGGCAATAGTAAGCAGTTTGCTTTTAGCTGGAGCAACCAGCACATGAATGGAGAAGGGGAAGCAGGAGATGCGAATAGCAAGTTTGGAGGTCGTTAGAGACTCTTGCAAGTCTCATCTGTTCAGAAATTGAGATTTGTCTTTTAACCAAAGAAGAATCACTAAGAATATCTTTATAAAACTGTCTTCTAGAGAACTAATATAGGTAGCAGTGTAGAGGAGGAGCTAACCAGAGAACATCTGGAAACCAGCTATCATTTGGAAGTTTATTGACCAAGGAAAGAAAGATACTGCATTAGCAGTGAGAGTAGAGAGGAAGCAAAGAGCATGTGTGTGTGTGTGTGTGTGTGTGTGTGTGTGTGTGTGTGTGTTCGTGTGTGCACACATGCACGCACGCATGCACCTCTGTATGGGTTGGTGGGGAGATATATTTATATGACTCATTGATTAACTGGATCTGCCTGGCACCTTGTGAAGTTTTAATGAATAATAAAAACTTTGTAAATGGTGATATGCTCCAAATATAACATAATGATGAAGATTATTGATGTGCATGTGAGTCATAAATGCTAATTACATGATGTAATTTTTAGTGCATCTTGTCAGAAAGGTATCTTTTCATCAGAGTTTTGGAAGGGATTTGTTGGGAATGTGGCTTTCCCTTCCACATTTTTATGTGGAATTCTCTAAGACATGTCAACAAAATTTGCAGACTATATAAAAGAAAAAGCAATATTAGAATATGTTACCAGAGTGGCCTAAATTTTGGATGCATTATCCTACTTCTGCTTTCAATATTATATGAATGAAATTAATATTAGGGTGAGATTTATGTACAATTTACATTCTTTTTCATAGCTATAGATTATAGAAGTATCTGTTGCAATTTATTGTCTCAAATATGTAAGCTTTTACTCAGAAAAAATCTGGATAAAAGAATAAGAATTTTCCAACACAACTAAATCCAATAATGAAAAGTAATGTAACACATTTACCTCCATTATGCTGGTTTAATAGTGACATGCTTATATAGAAAAGCAATCATATTAATGTATGGATGTTGCCACTCCTGTGGAATGTTTAAATCACATAGGGTAAGTAGAGATTTAGCAAGGTCTTGCAGGAGAGAATAATATGTGCCAAGAATATGCTCTGATACCTTCCAAAGCTTTGGTAAGGTTGCGAAGCTGATGAAGGCAATAGGCTGTTAGTTTGCATATACCCTCATGACCCATATCCAGTAAACAGTTTGTTGCTGTTTCTTCTTGTTTTTCTCTTCTTTTTCAATTGCTGGAAATGTAGAGCAGATCCCTAAGCTGTTTTTGTTTTCCGTAATAAATCTGGGGTATATTTTGGCCAGAATATTGTCTCAGTGTATCATTTACATGTGTTATTAGTTTTTAAACTTCTCATTTTGTTTATTGTTAAAAGGCTTTTGAGTAGGTAATATCTCTGCTAAATTACAATCACAATAATTATATTATTTCTCTTAAATAACAACTGATAAGTTCTCTTTTAAAAATTGTTAAGGATAATCACAGTTAAGTCTAAGGTGAACATTAGAAACTGTCATGGGAATTTTAAAAAGAAAAGAGAGTGAATGAGAAGGATGGGAGAGAGAGAGAGAGAAGGAGGGAGGGAGAGAGACTGTTGAAAAAATGGTGAATAGATAAAAAATATTCCCCAAAGTGGCTTCTTACTGTAGAATGTGGTTTAAACTTTTTTGCATAAATGTGTCTGTGTGAATCTGGCTGTGAGATTTTTAGCTCATTGCTACTTTATGAATGCAAAGCAACTTGGATTTATCTCATTTTCTCATACAACAGGGATACGGCCATTTCATTTTCCAGTCCCATATGCAAAATAACAGCTCTTCTTGTATGCCTCAGTAAATTTTGAATTTAAATTAGGTCATGAAGGTAAGTAGAGAGGAAAAAAATGCTAACTTAAAATGGTTTATTCCCTGAACTTTAAAATTACTTGAAGAAAATCACAAGCTTCTCTAAAATTAAGGATAGGCACAGCCCCAAAATTGTGCTGTACACAACTAACCATGCAAGCCAGATACACAGTTATATTAAAGTAGTTATTTTTCTAACTCTGATTTTTGTTATTATTCTACTATTTGAATTCTAAGTGATCTTGTAAGAGAAGACATAGTTAATTCTGTGGCCCTATATTAGATGGTTTTGAATATTGAGTTCAATATTCTGAATCTAATAAAGTGAATTGTTGTAGTTGAATTTTGTCTACCTAGCAAAGAGGAATGGAATTGCAGTGTCCCTAAACTCTACAATTTTAATAGTGCAACCACTTAGCTGTTATCTTTGCCATCCTAAACAATAGAAGCAGGAATCTTAAGGTATTGATAGCATTGATTGACCTAAGATGTTCATCATCTTAGACTTAACTGTGATTATCCTTAACACTTTTTAAAAGAGAACTTATCAGTTGTTATTTGAAAGAAATAACATAATTATTGTGATTGTAATTTAGCAGAGATATTGCCTACTCAAAAGCCTTTTAACAATAAACAACATGAGAAGTTTAAAAACTAATAACACATCTAAATGATACAATAGCGTCCTGTTTCCTGAATTGTGATTCTCTGTGTGTGTGTGTGTGTGTGTGCGTGTGTGCGTGCACGTGCATGTTTTGCCTTGCTCTCTCTAATTCCTGCTTTTGCTCTCTCTCTTGAATAAGATCTATGTAAGAATAGTGTTGGCATAATTCACTTGAAAACCACTTACATTAACACTATGTAACAGGTGCTGTTTTAAGTGTTCCTGAAAATATTAATTTATTTCATCTAGCATAATCCTTACAATGACTCTTTTAAGTAGGAATTATTGTAACTGACATTTTGCAGTTGACAAAACTGATGATATAAGAAATTAAGTCAAACTATTAAGGTAGCAGGAGATTAGGGTTCCAATTCAGGTACATCAGTTTTCAAGAAAGACAATTGCTATTTTCATTATGCTGTGTCACTTTTTAAATAAACTGATAGGTATAAACAGGGTCATGAGTTATGTTGTAGATAGTTACCTGGAGAAATTATTATAAGTTACTGTTTAAAGATGCAATCAAAATCTCTTCTTGTTTATTAACCATTATTTGTCGATTTATTCCATGGATCTGGAGTCTTGTCCAAAAAAATCCAACCCAAACTTGTAACCGTTATCAATTACTGATTAATTTTAATTATAGTAAGAGCTAAATTTTTATTAAGCTTTCACTATCAGCTTTATATGGCTCTGTATTTTATCTGAATTTTCCCCATTAATATTTATAGCAATCCAATGAGATTTCAACGCTGGAAATCAGAAAGTGATGTTCAGAGAAGTTATATAACTCTCTAAATCCTGTGTTACTAAGCAGCTCAGCTGTGACTTGAATGGGTCTGGAGATCAACCTATTAACTTCAGTACTCCTCATGTGTAATAACACTCAGAAATAAGAGTGTATAAGAGTTCATTACTAACTTCAAATTATTGTGCATACCCAATATGAGATAATTGAGCATTGTTTCATTTGTTCCAAACTGGGATTGTAATCAAGTTGAATCTTTGTTTTCTTTTGGTCATCTATGTCTCATGTGTAGTCATAGTCAAGGAAAATATTTTAAAAATGAAAATGACAACCTAATGCCTAGAAACCAAATCTACCTACTTTTATCTTTTATAGCTGAAGTCTTCATTTTCTTTTTTCTCTTGGATCTGTGCCCTCAGGACACAACCTGACTTCTATGGACATGACATAAAACAATTTGTCAATTTGTTAACTAACCTCTTGTCTGCACAACTACATATTCCTGATTCATTCTTCAAACCCTGTCTCTATCTCTACTACTCAGTCATTGCATCTACCAGACCTTTTCTGTTCCTTTAGACCTGCTCATCAGCACCCTTTGTGATGCCATCACAAGAGGACAGTCAACTTGGTGAATACTCAAAGATTTCTGAAAGCTACCATTTATTTTCATTCTTTTAATTATAGGTTTCAGGAAACTTGGTGAACAAAATATGGTTTTCTCTACTTTTACCTCTTTTTGAATATGAAATATAAGGAAGCTTCCAAGGATACTAGCACATAGTAGGCTCTTGACAAAGATTTCCGCAGGATTGAAAGTAACTATAGAACATGAGTTGGATATGGTGTCCTTGTCTCTATACTAATGCCATGTTTGGACATGGAGGAATCTAGTCAATATGAATATTTTAAATCAATTAAATGATTTTTAAACTCTTGAGTTTATTTTCTGTGTTATTATCCATTATTTATTTATCAGTGCATTTCGTTCTTCGTATGAACCTAAATTGCAGAGTGTTCATATCATCAAGAGGCTTTCAAATCATTAGCAAAGATCTGTGCTGATGGATTTTTGTTGTTGTTGTTGTTGTTTTTGTTTTCCTTTGGTCCAATGACAACCAACTAATAAGTAGAAAATTTTTTCTAAATTAACAAAACATATTGTGCCATTGAGAGTTTTACTTGCATTTAGAGGAAATGTGTTACTGCTAAACTGAAATATTTGTACAAAAGCAAAATATTATACTACTTTGCAATTTTTTCTGATGAAATTAGTTAATCTCTGAAGAGTATTTCGAAGATAAAGACCTGGTGACAGAGTTGATGAGAACTTGAAGATACCTTGCAAATGAAAAAAAAATTAGGAGTTCTGGACAAGGAATAAAAAACCTGTGTTCTAGTTCTTTCAATAATTAGCAGTTTTTTATTCAAGTCATTTTATTTTTATCCACCTAAATCAATCTCTCTCTCTCTCTCTCTCCTCCCCCCTCTCTCTAACAGGAAGAAGTCAGTTACACAAAATCTCTTAAAAATGTATTCAGTTATATCAGTAGTACCCATTGAGATGCTTAAGAATTAGATTTTGTGTATATGTGTGTGTATATATGTATGCATGTATGTAAAATTGTGTTACTTATTTCAATCCCCGTGAAAATTCGGTTCATATTATCTGTTCACACAAAGGATGAACTTAGTCACTGTGTGATCTTGTGGTATTTGCCTTGAGATTCTGGTCTATCAGCAGACTTAAGCTGGAGGTTTGAACAAATAACGTGATTTCACAGAATCTCACAGTTCTCTTACCTACAAATTGGGGAGATTAATATTTACCTACCTGTGAAGTATTACATGGATTAGTTAACAGAGGAAGAGCATAGAATTTGGAGCTCCACAGTTTTTATTCTTTCTTCTTGATCTCTTGTCATAGAATTCTTTATTTCTATTTTAAAAATGCTTAATTTCTTGTTTGCTGAGGTTGCTTATTGCAGAACTTTTTATTTATTGCTTTGATAATTCAGCTTAGATAGTGAATAGCCAGCATCCTCAGGTTCCTGCTGTTTTATTGCTTTATGAAAGGATGTTTATTAACTGCTTTAATAATCACTTTGAATACTTCTGAATACCTTTTTAAGTTGATTCCTTTTACTGGTTTAAATAACACCCCAAATAAATTATTTTAAAAATTGAATTTGCCTTTAGCATCATTCTGAACACATATGAAATGCTGTGAAAAGCTAGTAGTTACCGTGAAATGAACAAATAGAGGAATCATGTATGTGTTTTGGTGATATTCTCTTGTTGACTAACAAACACCCAAGGTTTAATATCACCATAGTAAAGAGATAAAAACAATCAAGCGTTCTAGAGCAAATGTCTGTGGTCACACAGAACCTCATTCCAAATTGGGTATATCCCTTTTTATCTGCACGGCCTTGGGTAAAGGTCTTTGCTTTTCTAGGCAAGATCCCTTGTGAATAGTATGTAGATACTAATAATATTCTACATGCAGATGTAGTAAGCATTAAATCTAATATTACAAGTAAAGAATCAAGAATAATGATTAATGCATAGGCGATGCTCAATAATTTTTGGCAGCTAGTATTATTATTGTACTTGAATTCTTGCAAAAAATATTTTAAGGTAAGAAAGATTTTGCAGCTGAAAATAGTGCTACTGTGTTTTATGGTATCAAGCAACATCATAGAAAAGTTCAACTTTATAAATTATCTGGGTTTTGTGTGCAATGGTTTTAGCATCTAATCTGATAGTGAAAGATAGCACCTGCAGCAGAATGCCTGACATTAACCAATCTAGACATCCATCTGAGGATGCTGGTTTCAGTGATACAGAATATAGTTTTCTTTGCTTAAAATGACTAAAATTTCTATTTTTAAATTTACTTTGTTTTTACTTTTTTAAAATACTGGGTCTCACTATGTTGCCCAGGCTGGAGTGCAGTAGCTACTCACAGTTGGAATTATGCACACTACAGCCTGGAACTCCTGGGCTCAAGCAGTTGTTCCACTTTGGTCTCCCAAATAGCTGAGTCTGCAGGCATGCAACACCACAACCTGCTTCAGGACATAGTTTTCTGTGTATGAGTTCCCTAGCATGTTGTTTTTATCCATGAATATGTTCTGGCTTCCAGAAATTAAGCACAGAAAATAAGTAGCAGTATAAACCATAACTTGCTAAGTTTTCTTCATTTTCTGGAGCCAGAAGTAACATGTTTTGTATAGTTAAATATATATTAAGATATAATGTTACTAAATTGTAAACATGGCCACTTTCAACTTAATAGCATGCAGATGCATATATCTTATCTGATATTTTGTAATGTGTCTTATATAGTATGTAAATATAATATAATATAATGTAATGTGTCTTACATAGTATGTAAAATAAAGATCCAAATGGCACATAAATATTTTTGACACTGATCATATTTGAGATGTTTGCAACTATCATATATGATATTAATTATTCAATATTTGAAAAGAATTATATACTCTGTTGTGCTATGCTGTGCTAATTTGTGTCATAGCACACTGAAATACACCGCTTCATAGATAATTCCAAAATCCTAAAAAGCCCCATAAACCAAAATTTGCAGCAAATACATTTGATAGCAAAACTTGAAATGAAAGATATGTGGTTCTTTATAGTCTTTATTTCTCTTTAGAGTAGAGTTTAGTGAACCTTCATATGTTTCACTACAGCTATATTACAGAGTTTGATTATGGAGTGCTGTGTCAATACTATTGTGGATATTATATAATATAAGATCTATGCACCATATTTCCTGTTTAAAATATGAAGAATTCCACATACTTGTAACATATCTGGCTCTAAATATTTTCAATAAATCACTTGTATCTCTACTAGTAATCATACTATTATAACTAGACTTTGTAGAATTAATTGAGAGAAATAACCAGTGTCATTAAAATGAGAAAAATTTCAACTTATAACTTCTTTGCTTACTGGTCTGTCCCATGTTTCCTGCCCCCAAAAGTCATCTGTTATGAACAACAGGAGATTAAATTCTACCTGTGTAAATGTATTAAAATATCCAATAGTTGTATACATTCACACCATTCTCTGATTACAACTAATGTAAGGTTGATTTTCCATAGTTAATAGCATCTAGCAGTTCTCCAAGGAGCTTGCCAATTATCAGTTCTTCCATTAAAACAAACAAACAAAAAACCTGTCACTCTTCTTTTTCTCAACATGTCAAAATTAAACCCAAAGTGTATTCCTTGCTCAAAAAATATAAAGCTTCATTCCATGTCCTCCCAATGATTTGTCTTGTTCTTGCTTTGCTTGGACACATGAATATCCCATGTGCCAAAGGAAGTGATACATCAAAGTATGAATGATGTGTATAGACACCATACTTGTCATACATATCTATCATCATCCTCTTAGGAGTAAAACAATATATATTCATTCCATCGAGAATTTCTTTCCAAATATGTTCTTTGCAATGGAGACTGTTGTCATTAGAGCAGTTATATTTAAACTCTCTAGTACCCAGCATTCCCTGACCTGTGTTATTATACTATGAGTCACCATTGAGCTATATTTAATGCTATGTGTTAACGCATTCCCAGAACTGGTGTACATCTCTGCAGCTGCACATGGAGGAGGCTACTTTAGTATGAATTTCATTGAATGAATTAGAAGCCATGGATGAAAGACAAAACCAAATATGTGTTCAACAATAGAAAATTCACTAAATAAATAAATTATGGTAAATCCATATAACAATCTACAATCATTAAGAACTATAATATAAAAAGCAATATATTTAAAGATGAAAAATAGACACCTAAAATATTATTTAAATCGATATGAAAGTAAAATAATAACTTTATTTAAAGCATATATAAAAAATATTTTTTTTTCTGAAAGAAAGGCCATGGAATTATTTGACTTTAAAATATTTGCGGCAATAATTCTAATGAAACTGGGTTATTAATAATTTTAATTTTCATTTAGTTGCCTTTCTTTATGTTATGCATTTTACAATAATGTACATATATTTATGTGAATTTACCACCCAAGGCAATAAATGAAACATTTCCCCCAAAAAGAAGTCCTACATGTGAGACTCATAATTGCATTCTTCTATTTCCTACTAGACTTTTCCATTTGTCAAGAACTCTGAAGGGTCAGAGATGTTAGTCTGCCTGCAAGCTTAATTAGCCTATCATAGTTTTGTGGATGCTGGTAGAAGACACAGCATTCCTAGGACAGAGGCAAAGGTCTGTATTACTTATGCCAGAGTAGACAGCATAAATTTCATATTTCCATTCCTCGACCTGTTGACCTGTTCCTTAAGTCCCATGAAGATGATGTGAATACTGGAGAGAAATTTTATGTACGGAGGGTTTGCCTTTCACTTGAGTAACTCCAGGTTAGAAAACCACAATATTTTGAGGGGACTGCAAGAAGATCTTCCTGGTCTTTGCCCCAGAGGAGGACAATCTTTATCATTCTTGATACCAAGCAGAATATTCCTCTTCCCCAGAGGGAGATACTCTATCGTTCAAGGCTGTTGTCTACACCGACATCCTTGAAAATACATTTCAGAACAAAAGTTGTCAGTGCTTATTTTCAGAAGATGTGCAGAAACAAGCTAGATGCATAGAGATTGTCTCTCAACACCACTGACCTGAATTTTTGTTATTTTACTACTCTTTAAACTTAATTGATGTATCTCTAAATAATACATAAATTCCAATTAATTTGAAATCCAAATTAATGAAACATTCATTAATTAGTTTTAGTATAATATTCAAAATCCATATTAAATTTGGGATCTGTCCATATCAATAAATGTAGCTACAGTTTATTCATTTTTACTGCTTTATCATATTCTATTGTCTGAATGCATCATAATTTACTCGTCCATTGTGAGGCAGGAGAATAAGCTCTGGAGGTGGGGAACCTAAGGCCAATTCATGCTGACTTCCTAGGACTGATCAAAAGGAAAATCCCACCTTTCCACACCCAAGTAACAAAGGATGAGAGGCTACTACTCCTACAATCCCCACCTTCCACTGCCTCACAAATGAAAAATGTAAAGTTCCTCTGATTGGCCATGGGCCAAGGTGGGCCACTCCTTCATTTGTGTAAGGTGCCAATACACTCCAGCCTTTGGTTTGCCGTGGGCCAAGCAGGCTGTTCCTTCATCTTCATAAGGCCAGTGGACTCACTCCAACCTCTGGTTGGCCAGGGGCCAATCCACTTTGGCCTCTAATTGGCCACAGGCCAAATCTTCATTCACATAGGAGGATAACCAATAGGAAACCTCTAAAAGGTACTTAAACAACAGAAAATTTTGCAACCAGGGCTCTTGAGCCACTTGTTCCACTGCTTGCACCCTGTGGAGTGTATTCTCACTTCAGTAAACCTCTGCTTTCACTGTCTCATTCTTTTTTTGCTTTGTTTGTGTGTTTTGTTCAATTCTTTGTTCAACATGCCAGGCACCTGGACAACTCACACGCAAGAGATTGTATCTGGTTAACAATTGCATTTATTCATTTGTTTAATTTTCAGTTTTTTTGTTTGTGTGAAAATGCTGCCATAATGAGTCTTTTACATGTCTCCTACTGCATGTGTTCAAGTTCATCTAGAGCATTTCTGATGAAGTAGGATGGTTAGGACAATTTTAAGCATGCAAATAACATTACTAAATACTGCAATAGCCTTTCTCTATTGGCTGAATTTTTAAAACATTTTTAATTTCTACTAATACTCATTATCTGTCATGGGAGCTTAGCATTCTTCTCAACATTTTACATTTCTGCTTGTTTATTTTGTCCATTTTCCTGTATTTTTGTTCTAAATAATTCCTCAGAATTCTCTATGTTTTCTGGGTGCTAACGAATGGTCAATAATATGTGTTGCAACTATTGTCCCTGGTTTGTGGCCTGTATTTTCATTTTAAATTTTATTTTCATCCATTTCATTTGGTGTCATTTCATGATTATAAATTCTTTATATTAAATAAACCAAATTTATCATTCATCAGTATTTTACTTTATGATTTATTACCAATGTCTCATTAAGAATCCTGTTGTGATATAAATATGAATTCCAAAACTGACTTCTTAATTAAATTGTACATATCCATGACAATATCTATTCATCTATAGCTATCTGTCTACCTACATATCTGTATAGATAACCAGTTACCCAAGTCATTTGTTTCTTAGGGGATCTGAAATATCAAGCCTATCAAATTCAACTTTCCATATATATGTGTGTTTTTTATTGAGCTCCCTTTTGTTACCTTGATCTATTTGTCTATTCCTATGCTAATAACAAAATTAATAACCATAAATTATAATAATAATTAGCAAATTTTCCTATCTGGTCTTGATTCTCCAACAGTGTGTTAGCTGATCTGTTTCTTTCTCTTCTATACAAATTTTAGATACATCTTGCCAAGTCTCCTTACCTATCCACCCAAAAACATATTGAGATTCACATTCAAATGGCATTAAATGTTTTCATTTAGAAGGAAAGAAATGTTTAGACTAGTAAAACTTTAATTACTTAAACACTACACATAAATACATATATATTTATCAATATAAATCTTCCATTGTATATTTTAATACAAATTATGATAGTCTATAAGATCTTGTACATATTTAGATTTATTCACAGTTACTTTGCATTTTTAATGCAATTAAAATAGTCTCTTTGAATTTTATTTTCTAAATGTTTATAATTGATGTATAGAAATGTAATTGAGTTTTGTTTATTGCTTTTGTCCCCATAAAATTCTAATTTTAGTTGTGGTAAATGGTTTCTTTTGAATTTTCTACATACATATCATCTGAGGATACTGACAGATTTTTTTTCTTTCTCTGTTTTTTTATAGCTTTGTTTTTTATTCTTGCCTTATTGGACTGATTTGGAGATTCTGTATAGTGTGAAATAGAAATAGTGTTAGTGGACTTCATTATCTTTTTTCTGTTTTTAAAGAAAATATTTTCAGCATTCAAACTAATTATTGGGCTTTTAGTAGTTCTTAGTAAATATCCTTTAGGTAGTATAGAAACTTCTTTCTTCTTTATAGGTTGCTAATAGGGTTTATTTTGTTTGCTTATTTTTATTTTTAATTGAGAATGTAAGCTCCAGAAGGTAGAAATTTTTAATTGTCTATTTTGCTCATTGGTATTTTTTCAGCACTTGAAAGATTAACTAGCATATAGTAAATGACCATGAAATATAAAACTGGATGTTGAATGTTGAACATTCAACCGACGTTGGATTTTGCATGTGTTTTCTTCCTGCATTAATTTTGGCAATCACATAATTCTCCACATTAATCTACCTTATGTGCTGAATTTCATTAATATATTTTCTAATATTTAACCAGCCTTACATTTCTAAATTTTCCTCGAGAGGCACAGATGGTAAGAGGTTTGGCAAATATTGCTGTGACTATAAAAACTACTTGTAAAAATCTTTTCTTATAATCAAAGGGGATGTGACATCAAACTGAAACTATCATTCTGGGGATACAGCAATATATTTTTAATTTTTCCCCTCTGTCTTCAGAGCTGGAAGATGAAGAAGTATGTTACTATACACAAAATAAAAATATGTGTTCAGAGTTCTCTAAAGATTTATGTCCTGAAGCAATGTGTGAAAAGATGGGCTTGTGGGTAAAGCTCAGGATGACAATTTAATTAATTAGTGTGCCAGAGCTTAGCTGTGACACATATCACCTACACAGTTTCTGTGAGAAAGCCAAGGTTTAAGATTAACTTAACAGGATATATGGATTAAATCACCTTTTTTTTTTTTTTTTTGAGATGGAATCTTGCTCTGTTGCCTGATTCTCCTGCCTCAGCCTCCTGAGTAGCTGTGACTACAGGCATGTGCCACCACACCCAGCTAATTTTTGTATTTTTAGTAGAGGCGGAGTTTCACCATGTTGGCCAGGATGGTCTCGATCTCTTGACCTCATGATCTGCCTGCCTTGGCCTCCCAAAGTGCTGGGATTACAGGTGTGAGCCACAACCCCCGGCCAGATTAAATCACCTTTAAATTCTAGCATTGCTGGTCCTATGAATAAAGTATCAGAAAAAAATAAGAGACATAAATTTATTCTTTCCTACTAATAATTTTGTCTGCATGCTTTTTCCATTTCAAACCTAAAAATTTAAATGGTCTGGCTATTTGAGGCTTCTAAAGAAATAGTCTTCTAATATTATGTTATGTAGTTTTTCCTGTATCTTATCATTTCTTAGAACATTTACTGAGTTATTTTCTTATTGAATATTTCTGCCTAGTTATATTCTTGCATATATAAACAGAAACCAGACTTCTTCTTGGTTTGGAAATCCTAAAGATGAAAGATGTGTCAGAAGGAAGTAATTCTTTAACTGTAAGCTTACATGGCAAAATACTTATGAGTTGCATATATACACATATATTCACATAAACACAAATAAACTTCCGAACCTCTTTCCCACTTTGATGGCCAGGAAAGTGTTTCTATATTTGATATTGATAAATTTCATCAGCTTTGCAGAAAATAAAATATAAGATATTATTATTGCTTACAGACCCCTTTTTACTGTAATGGTAGTTGCAAGGGATAACAAATCTGACTTCTGTGGAGGAAACAAGAGTTATTAGTAAAGCAATTATTTGGACTAGCTTGATGGTGATTTCATTTACATGAAACCCTAATGTTTAATTTTATTTCCACCTAATATATTTAGTTCTTGTTTTGATAACTTTTGTGATATCCTTTGCTGATTAATTGCAGGTTCATTAGAGATTCCTACAAGCATCATGTTTTTATTCCATATTAGCACTGGTTAATTACAGAAGGAAGAATAAAACCAGACTACATATGGTATCATTTTTTTTTCCAAATACCATCTAAAACTAACCTGTGGCAGATGTGAATAATCCTTGTGTAATTTATTTGGCTCTGATTAAAATCTGTTACATAGTTATTAATTTCAATAGCTATCATATTCTTTGGAAAAAATTTTCAGAGAAATTATAAATTTGGACCATGCCAGCCATGGACAAAATCTCAAACTGGGTGCTATGATACTTTCACCCATTCACCACTTATATCATGCTTGAGATCCTCTTTATGTTCTAACCCCAAAGTTTCCCTTGCTCTCCTTCGTCTGGACCCAGCTTTTCTGCTCACTCATTTACCCAGAAGGCCTGTTTATGTCCCTCTTTCATGCTTGTATATGATTGCACTTGGTATAGTTTTTTTTTGAGGTATTTGCATCCAATAAATGCCTATGGCATATATGCCCAATGTTTCCCCTTTTCACCAAAATATTGTCTGTGCAAAGTCTATTTCAAGGCACATTGAGCTTTCTGTACACCACTAAGGAGCTAGAAAGGTAATATTCAGAAACAGATAATATCCTGTAAAAGCATTTCACGCTGAACTGAAATGACAAGGACATTCCTGAGATTTTTTGTTTGAAAGAAGGGAATACTGATGATGTCAGACTTTTACAATATTTCATTGTCAGTTTCATTTCTAATGATACCAAGTGTAACCTATTTGTCCCCTCTCCAGGAACAACATCATTTAGGCAAAACTCCTTTCACATTAGTAATCAGGTATTTCTCCCTGAACATTCTTTCCAAAGGGGATGATACAGAGTATATAATTGGCTTGGTAATATTAATTAGGAAAGAGGGGGCAAGTGCTAATTGTTTATTTTATGTTTAATATTTGAGGGCTTCTCTCCTGAAACTCCTTGCTTAAGATTCTATCAAGACCTCCAAAGGCATTAGCTGTGTTCTAGAAAATAAAGTTAAAAGTTCTGTGCATATTGAAGTTGCTGAGGAGTTGCTGCCACGAGTGCATCATAAGAGGCCTCTTGAGGCTGCATTTACACTCTGTAGGAATACTGTAATGAACTACTTATGTCTATCATGGGTGCAAAAGGGAGACAAGACCATGAATGTATCAAATGACTAGTGGTTTTGCTGGACTACATGCTGATCACCAGATGGGATCAGAGTTTGGTGATCTGTTTGGGCACATGGACTTTGGTCATTATTGATAACATATTACAAAAAACAAATCCAATGCCTTTGAAACAAATTATTTCCTTTATTTATACTTTTTTAATTTAAGAAGTTTGTACTGGCCACAAAATCGAATGAGTGATTCCAACTGTATAATTGTGGAAGAGCTCCTACAGATAAGGGAACAGAAAGAGTGAATGAAAATCGCAATTGTTTTATATTTGTTAAAATTAATCTGCCAAAACCATAAAGTGAAAATGATCCTCAAACTTTACATTGTTATAGCCCTATATATCAGTGTAGCTCTTTATACTTTCAAAGCACTTATCTACTGGATGCTTTCCAATTTTAATCTCCATAATGACCCCCTGAGATATAGAAGGGGAATACTACAATTCCCATTTTGTACAGCACAAAACATGATACACAGCAAATCAGTGATTAAACGTGGAAAAGAATTCAGGTATCTAATCTTTAAAAAATATTTCTGTTACACTACTTTAACTTCCTTACACCATGTAACAAGAAGGAGGGATAACTAATGTTTATTAAGAGGTGCTTACATATTAAACACTATGCTGGTAGCTTTATAAGAGTTATCTCCTTTAATTCTCATACTAACCCTCTGAGGTTGCTGATACTTATTTTTATTTTATGTGTTTTATGAATAAGAACATTAAGATTGACAGAGGTTAATTACCTTGCCCAATGAAAACAACTAGTATATGGCAAAGCTAGCCTGAAATGTTAGGAATGGTTAATGCCACAGACTTCTACTTTTCAGGAATATTATATAACCTTCCAAAGTTTATTGGTGCATGTTTAACAAACTTTTCATTTTTTCTAAGCTGCTACTTGTTTGTGACCCCTTTTCTGTCTTCTCTTTGCAGTATCTCCCTGCCAACTATTATCATTATGCTGGTGCTGGCTGCCAAAGTAGGAGTTATCATTTGTTAGTAGCTGGGATGGTGCTTTGCCTGTGAATTTCATCCTATTCAAACCTTGTGAAGTGCTAAATTTAAATTTTCAGATAGCTCACCTAGGATATAATAAAAAAAAGTGGATTTTACATAATTAACATTGTAAAATTTCAATTTCACTTACTGTAGAATTGCGATGGTTTGAATATTTGACCCCTCCAAATCTCATGTTGAAATTTGATTCCCAGGGTTGGAAATGGAGCCCAATGGGAGATGCTTGAGTCATGGGGGTGGATCCGTCATGAATGGCTAGGTGCTGTCCTTGTCTTAGCGATAATGAGTGAGTTCTTCTTGCTCTATTAGATCTCTGAAAAGCTGGTT
This sequence comes from Homo sapiens, assembly GCF_000001405.40. Classification (NCBI taxonomy): domain Eukaryota; kingdom Metazoa; phylum Chordata; class Mammalia; order Primates; family Hominidae; genus Homo; species Homo sapiens. Next base: position 52,214,566 of record NC_000002.12, on the reverse strand, counting down.
AAGAGTCTGGTACTTCCAGCTGGGCACAGTGGCTCACACCTGTCATCCCAGCACTTTGGGAGGCAGAGGCATGTGGATCACTTGAGGTCAGCAGTTCGAGACCAGCCTGGCCAACATGGTGAAACCCCGTCTCTACTAAAAATTAGCCAGGCCTGGTGACCCACTCCTGTAGTCCCAGCTACTCAGGAGGCTGAGGCAGGGGAATTGCTTGAACCTGGGAGGTGGAGGTTGCAGTGAGCTGAGAACACACCATTGGACTCCAGCCTAGGGGATAGAGTGAGACCCTGCCAAGATTCTGGTACTTCCCTAGCAGCTCTTTTTCTTTTTCTCTCTATGTGAACTCTGTATACACCAGCTCTTTTTCGCTTTCTGCCATGAGTGGAAGCAGCCTGAGGCCCTCACCAGAAGAAATGCTGGTGCCATGCTTCTTGTATAGACTGCAGAACCATAAGCCAAATAAACCTCTATTTATAAATTACTCAGCTTTGGGTATTCCTTTATAGCAACACAAATGGACTAAGACACAAAATATATCTTTAACCTTACAATGAAACAAGAAAGTACGTTTAAAGTGTTACACAAAATGCCAGGCATAGAGTAGATTTTCTTCTTTTTCCTTTTATTCTCCACCTGCCATTTATGGATTCAGAGTAATAAGTGTGTTCAGAAATAGAAAACTGAAGGCACTGAATAGGTAAACTTGTCTTTTTCAATAAGTTGTTGGTTTCATCTAGTGTTTGTTATTGGGCTTTTGTTTTTCTTTACTGTTCTCTAACTAAAAATAAAAATAAAGCTTTGCCATATTCTGTATTATATAACATTATTGTACAAATTCTCTTAGCATATAAGCAATCTGTCTGATAAATTTGGTTTTGGGATTTTTCCAAACACACTTTTTAGAAATTGCCGTAAAGCTAGTGTTCTTTTTATAAATAGGCATTTTTTTACATTTTTTGTAAACATTCATTACAGCCTTGTTAGGAGGCTCTTCCTAAAAGATATTAATCTTAAATTTGATTTACATGTCTATAAAAAATCTTTGAGCCTCCTTTCATTTTGGTTCTGCAAATGAGCCTTATGCAATGTTACTTGGCAGTAGAAATCACAGGAAGCTTCTTAAGACCAATTTTTGCCCCTTCTTGAGTGAAAGGATTTCTTAGAGTTGCCCTGTATTTTAGTAATATGGCTTTGTTTTAACATGTTCACACGTTTTTCACATTTGAACATCTTCTGAAGCCTATCTTGTTTACATGGCTTATTGAAGCTCCACCATTTTCCTGATGTCTTTTTGGATCCATTTAGCCCAACTGATTACTCTTTCTGAATATAAGTTTAGTAATATGTGCCCCACATAGCACTTAGTTCTTTCTAATTATTCCACGAAGGTTATCTTCTGTCTCAAACTAGATTTATATCTCTTGAGTGTTCTGTAATCCCTGGGGCTTAGCTTAGTATCAGAACTGTTATAAGGTTCCTGTGAAGTATTTGTTTGATGGTTAATTTAATTGAAGCCATTTAGAAAAACACTATGCAAAGGGGAATTTTCTTCTCCAGTATATGCCATTTAACCCCAACTTGACCAAGAATAAAAAATGATCGTTTTTACCAATTATTATCAATTGATGATACACTTTTATGTTGAAAGTATTTAGACCGTATCAGGGTTCAATAAATAATGCCATAACTGAGTAGCAATCCCTTCCTTAAGCAGAAGAAGGTGGGGTGGGTGACAGGTAACATTCATTTGCACATCATTACTACTTCTTTAATTTCTGAGTTTATTTTATATTTTTCATGCATTTTTATGCAGGAGAGTTAAAAATATTACTTGCAGAAATGATATAAGGAAAAAGCCAACATAAGAAAATTATTTTTAGGCAAATTATCAATGGTTAAATCTGAGTAATTGCTTTAATAAAGTATATATCTCATAGTCAGATTTCATTCAGATAAGAATAAGAAGTCATATATCTGTTGTTTAAATATTGATATCAATTCTTCCCTTTTATCCATGAGAATGATAATGTCATGCCTTTTGAGATGCTGTATAGAAGGAAATCAACTTTTCTACCTATTTCTTAATCTCTTTCCCACCAACCCCAAAGGCTAATGAAATATTGAGACATTTCACACTTTTGTGGATTAAAAATATCTGAGTCATTAATTAATGGGAGCTTGCTTATGTCATGTAACACGGCATCATCTCACTATGGCAAAGAGGAGCATTTGCACACACACCTTCCACTTTCTATTATTGACTGGTGAGCATCCATTGAGAATTCTTTCTTGTTTTACTCACCATGGCTTAAGATACCCTAAATAATCATAGAAATCTTCTAGTACCCACAACGGTTTATATATACAGAAATTAGTGTTCTAGTTATCAACTTTTTCATTAGTGACATGTTCTATGTTTCTTCATTTTATATTTCAGCTCTCTGTCCTCATTATTTGTGACATCAATGAGAACATAGATTATACTCTAGAATTATTTGTATAGTAATTATTGTCAGCTGAATGTAAAATTCTCTCATATCTATGTAATTTTTCCCCAAATGGATGAAGACATAAAAGTGGATCTGGAAAACAAAAACTATGGATCAGAATCTGGCTTGTTATTAAGAATGCAATTTGATATCAATTCTTGTGAAAAGCCTTCGTTGAACTTTACTAACTTCTGAACTTGTGCTGTTTTCTGCTCCTACATGCTTTCATAATACTATATGCTTACCTGAATCAGCATGTATAATATGCTAATTTGTCTTTATTAGCTTATAAGTTAGCTCTGAGTGCAGAGGAAAAGCCTCATTCCTTTGTGAATTCCTAGTGTCCATCATAATAACTGGTATATGGTAGGCTCTATATTTGTGGTTATGGAATAATGTTGTAACCATCAACAAATGAGAGATACTTTTGATAGGATAATAAGTAAACAAGTAATAAAATTTTATATTATTGAAATAATTTTATTTCAAAATTCAGTTTTGTTTTTATGTTAGGATATATACCAATAGTCTCTAAACCAGCGCTTTCACTTTTACAATAATAATAAAATCTTTACAACCTCAGAACTACTTTGCATTACTAGAATAGTTCTTTTTTTATAAAGCCCCAAGTGCTTTACAGTGAATGATTTAGCAGTCTAATTACAGTGTTTTGAGGGACAAACAACTTACTGACAATTTCTTACAGCTCATTAGCATCTGGCACAGAATATTTTGGTGAAGATCTGTGACACTATGTAGACCAACCACTTCTTATAAAAGATGAGACCATGAAACCTCAGAGAAGTGGCATGACCTACTAAGATCTCACAGTTGGCTAACTGAGGTCAAAGGCAAAACTTTTATTGCAGATATAATGGATGGTCCATAACACCTCCAACTGCATGCCATGCCTCCAATCCTGTCTAAAGAAAGTGATTACAGAAAGAGGATTTGTATAAACATGAATGGCCTATGATAAGGTATCTATTACCCTGTCTACAACAGAAAGTACTAGTACCTATTAGCCAATAGCAGAATTTGGTAAGGAGGTCGTTCCTTGCCTAGGAAAGGAATTGTTTCGAGGATATTCTTAATAGTGGGAAATCATATTGGTGGCTGACAAATTTACCTAATTCTACTTTTTCTAGTGGAGTGTGAAAGGGAAATGCATATTGGGATGAGCAGCATAGAAGAAACAATGGGCACTTTCTCCTCAATGATATTATTCATTCCTTCATGTGAGTTGATGATGTGTGCTGTGTCAGGTGCTGTGCCAGTGACAGAGCAACAACTCACATGATCCTTGACCTCAGAGCCCTCAGAGGTTTTTAAAGAAAATGGACATCATTCAGATGATGGGGCAAAGCAATGTAAACATAAAGGAGTTTTAATCATACTGACATAGAGGTTCGTGGTATTTAGAATTTCTTACACATAGATTTGGTTTTATCAAGGAGGTTAAGAAAGTTTTCCCTGAATAAAGGAACTAAATTTGAAGAATGAAAAATTAGTAAGTATTAAGACAGAGGAAAGAGCATTCCAGGTAGAAGAAATATATTTAAAGACTAGGGTGGGAGAAAGAAGGGTAGATTCAAGTGACTGAAAGATGAACAGTGAAGCTCAAATGGTGTGAGATTGTGTGTGGTGAGGAAAATGAGGCCAAACTATGCAGAGGCTTATAGAGTATGTTAGACAATTTTGTTTTCATTTTAATAACAAGAAGCATTTGAAGCATTTGGAAACATGCCAACTGCAATGTGTGTGTGAACTGATTACAGGGAAGACAGGCTGAATAAAATGCAGAACAGGTAGGAAGTAATGATAGCACTTTAGGTAAGAGGTATGAATACTTGAACAATGGGATGGAAGGATGCGTTTTAGGTTATTACAACACCAGAACTCTCAAGCCCATACACCTATTCTATTTTCTGAACAAGACTGAGACACTAGTTGGAGTTTTCTATACTTTCTTGGATTGTTAAGCTTTAGATGCACTGGGATTCAGCATGACTCTATGGCTCTTGTAATACTTTCCTCAGATTTCTTATTATTCTATCAATTCATGGACTAAACCTTTCTTACTGGGTATATTCTCATCCTTGCATTCACAAAAGAGATTTAGAAATACATTTTTGAAGACCAGAAAAGAAGTTGTAAGAAATTATCAGAGGAATGTAGACAGGCAATGAGAGTGAGGCAGAGGAAGCCAGTGACAGTCTCTGACCCATTTTTTATTTCCGGTTTGGGAGCATTAAACTGAACTACTGGCTATAATTTCTTGAATATGGTTGATGTGCCCAACGAAAAATACTTTCTGGGCACTACTTTAGGAAAAAAATAGGGATTAAGGGATATAAGGATGACGATAATTTGTGTGTGATTTCTTAAAACCTCCACTAACCTGTTGAGAAAAGTATAAACTCTGATGCTGGGTTTAGCCATGTACATAGAGAATCTCTGACTCAGAAAGCACTTCTTCATTTTAAAAGCTTTTTATTGTTGAAATAATCTTAATGCATAGTTTTCTTACATATCTCCACCCTGCTTCTTCTAATGTTAACATCATACATAACCATAGTTCAATTATTAAAATTAAGCATTTAATATTTATAGTCTACTATTAACTAAACCTCAGACCCTTTTTGGATATTACCAATTTTTCTGCTATTATTATTTTCCTGTTACAAGATTGAATCTGGAGCCTCAAATTGCATATAGTTGTCATGTCTTCTTAGTCTTTCCCAAGTTGTAATAGTTCCTCAGTCTCCACTTATTTTTATGATCTCGACACTTGGATGAGTACTGATCAATCACTTGGTAGAATGTCCCTTGATTTGTGTTTCTTTATGATTCCCTTAAGGTAATGATTTTTTTCTCAAAAATATAACATCTTAAGATCCCTGTACCCTTCAGTGTGTCAAATCAGTAGATACATGATATCAAAATATGGTATTACTGGTGATGTTAACCTTGATCACTTGGTTTAGGTTGTACCTGATGGTTTGTTTTTTTTTTTAATTCTATAGTTACTATTTTTCCCTGTGCCATTAAGGCACATTTTGAGAAAGATATTTTGAGACTATGCAAATATCTTGTTTTGCCTCAAACTTACACTAACTAATTTTAAAAACCACCAGTGAACCTTGAATGGGAAAATTATTACTTCGGTATTCAAACTGGAATTATTATTTTCTATATTCCTTTAATGGTTACATATTGAAATTCCTCTTTAATGAAGAGCTGTCTCTTCTCTTGTCTTTATTTATTTGTTACAATTAATTATGTCAGTATAAAAGCTATTTACTCTTTGGGTTTTATTCCAGTAATATGGTCATTTATTTTATTATTCAAATTGTTTCAGCTTTGGTCAGGGAGAGCTCTTTCAGCGTGGTTCCTATGTAATTCAGTCTTCCTTCCCTACATCCTGCCTTCCAAACCTCCTTATATTCTGGGATCACAAAATTTTCCACATTTTGCTTTTGTCTGTTCCATCCCTTGAATCAATGACTCTTCCAATGAGCTCTGGTTTCTTGTGTAGGAAATAATGACAATTTGAAAGTCTGTATATGTTCAGTACATTTTTTCCTGAATATTTTCCATCTATGATTGGTTGAATCCATAGATGTGGAATTCATGGATGTGGAGGGTCAACTGTATATATTTTGAAAAGCTGTGTGCTCATGCTAATTCCTCAATTTTAGTCCACACCATAGGATTCCTTCTAGTCTTCTTATGTAACCTCAATCTATGACAGTGAAAAAACTGCCCTCATTATCCACAATAGTGGATAGTATTCAACCATAGTATTTTCTGAAAGTAGTTTCAGATTTGCAAACCTGTGAGTTTACCCGTGGGTAAAAAAAAAAATACTGACTAGACTACAGTAATTGTGTATAGTCCTTTTGTCTTTTGCCTTATGATGTAATAGCAAAATATCATTCCCCAAATTTATTTAGGTTAATTTTTCTTTTCCCAATGCCTTCAATGTGGTTATATTAATTATAAGTAGTAGATTTATTTGTTATAGTTCGTATTCCATTTTGAATTTTTCCTTCATTCTGGTTATTTACTTTGTAAAATTTACAGACTGTAAAATTCCATCTCTATCGGGTACAGTTTTGTGGGTTTAGGCAATTCATAGAGTACTCTGTCTCCTACCACACACAGTTGACATAAAGAACATTTCATCATCCCAAAAGTTTCCTCATGCTCCCATTTGTGAAAAACCTCCCTCTCCACACACAATATTCTGCCTCCAACCACTGATTTGCCTTCTATGTTTATGTTTTGTCTTTCTTTCCAGAATATTTTCTGCTTTTTTCATACTGCTTTTTTAAACTGCTAAATATGTCATTGACATAGGCAAAAATAGATTTCTCATATATCTGAATATAAAGACGGGAAAAATTAATAATTGTGAATCTATAAGGAATATCTCTGTATAATAGTAACAACATTTAAAATTGTCTAGGTATAATCTTTGAAATATATACATGTAAAATCTATATGGAGAAAAAACAAAATATCATTCAGGCAAAAATTTAACAAAATAGAGTGGCTAATCATGTTTTGGATGGGAAGATTTATTATGAGAAATTTGACTAACAAAAATTTCATATGAAAAAATAAAGAGCCAAGACAGTAATAAAATAAAATATTAAGAGCAAGGGGGGCTGGGAGGATTTTCTTCAGATATTGGAAATAATTATAATGCAATAGCAATATAAAGAGTAAACTATGACACAGGATATAAAGAGTCAAATTAAAAACAATGCAGAAATTAATCCACATGTGTATGGAACTAGATATATCACAAGAATGGCACTAAATATGTTAAAGAACGGACTACACATATTAGAATTAATAAATTGATTATTCAATGAAAGATTTGGGGACAGTTTGCTATTTACAAGCCACTATCTCAAATATATTCTAAACATTTATGTGTGCCAAATTTCTTAAATTTGTCTGGAACTAGAGATTTTGAACTGTTTTTGTGGATACAGTAGTAGAAATTCACACTAGGAGAAGGCTATATGGAATTTGCAGAATATCTCTACCATCTTCCATAGCACTGAGACGGAAATGTAAACATTAATGTTCTATTTAAAATCCATCAAATTGAAAAAGATTTTAAAAAATTATTCCCATACCTCATATTAGCAGAGACATGGAAAAAAATAAATTTCCTTGTACTAACTATAGCAGTAGAGTTGGTACAATTTTGTACCAACTATACAAAATTGTTTTAATTTTGTATTACAGTTTTACCAATTTGGAAAGGGGACTAGAAAACCCAGAAAAATAAAGATAGACATACTCTAATACAACCTTGAAATTATTTTATTTAAGTTTGTAACGAGAAGAAGCATTTGCACGTGTACACAGGAAAATGTTAATGAAATGTTCATTACACAATTGCTTGTAATAATTTTTAAAAGGAAAAAGAAATTCTTCAATTGGAAACAGGTAAGTTGATTTAAGTACACAAATTTAATGAAAAAATATATGGCAGTGAAATACATTAGTTAAAGCTATACATATCAATATAAAAATATTAAGAATATTGAAGGGTCAAATGTAAGGAATTACCAAGTACATATAACATGATATCTTTTATATAAAAGTTACAATATTTAAAAATACTAACGTTGTTTATGAATATACACATATGAAGTAAAACTATATAAACATGGATAGAAGGAATGTACAACTGGCTTCAGAAGAGTGATTTAACTTGTAGGGGAAAGTAAGGCAGAGTCAGCTGCAAAAATAGCAATACTTTCTTTATAAAAAGATATAGCTGAAATAGCAAAATGGTAATCTTTGTTCATTTTTTGTGGTGAATAAATGGGTGATTATCTAAATATCCTCTATATTTCTCATGTTTAATAAATTTTTTAAAAAGGAAAAATTGCAAATATTTACATAGGTTATTTATGTTTTCCAAAATGACACTCTCTTTACACATTTAAAATTGAATTGTGCATTAAAAATCATATTATGTGTGTTGTTTAAAATTTATTATGTATATAGGATGGTGAGAAAGTGAGTTACTCCAGCATTTAACATATGTTGAGATTGGCTACCAATGAATATTTTTAACACTGACTCACTAAAAAATTCCTCCATAGTTGCTATTCTTTTTGCTGTAGTGAGATAAAATAATATCCTGATGTACAAGGATGAAGTGAAAAGGATTTTTTAGAGGTAAATGTACAATATATGTGTATACACATCATATATCTATGATGTGATATATATCAGTAATGCACATCACTGGAAAAAAGTTCTATATGAATAAAAAGTAGCTTATTATAATTTTACTTTGAAACTTCTAAATCATTTTCTCATTCAACTCAATGTGTAATGACAGATTTTACTGCATTTTATAATGCATAATATGTGCCTGATAATCAAACTAGCAAACTGCGTTGCATATGCTAATTTATGTATTTAAGTAAAAAGTGAGTACCTCATCGTGATATTTAAATGCTTGCCAATTTTGATTTAAATTATAAAGCATTTTGATGCACGAAGGCAAAAATGTAATCTAATTACAGATAACACCTTTATTCTGTCTTGGTATTCCTGCAGTCTTATCACTCACGACTTCATTATTTTAATAAAGACATCCTGGAACCATGATGTAGAGTTTAGAATACAAATGTATATTTTAGCTATACATTTCTATACATTTAGAAACTGCTTATAATGAAACCATTGGTGTGACGTTAGCAATAATATGAACAGACAGCGTATGTTTCTTCTTGAAATAATGCCACTGAATCTTAGATCAATTAAAAATACTTTGATTTATGTATAGTTCCAACAATAAAATAATAAAACTTGTATTTATAGAGTAAGAATTAGCTATGTAGGAAAGCTGTTTCTTTTCTCTATGAATACAAAATCTTTATAAAGTTAGGCATTAATATCAATCTATATTAAGACTTTTGGATTTTGAGCTGCTGGTGAAGAAATAAGTAGATATTTTTAAAATTTGAGTTAAGAATTTGTATTTGTTAAAATATTTATGTGGTTATCATTGGATTTTTCAGTTTATTTATGGGAAATTCATCCTATAAGATTACTGAAATGCATCAAGCATATTCTCCACAGATTGTGTGGAATTAGGAGGCATTGGTAATAACTCAAAATTTAAATGATGGGTAAATAAACTACAGTGCTTCCTTAAGTAGAAATATTTGTACTTACATGAATGAATGCTCCAAATACACTAATTGAAAAAAAAGTAAGAAAAGCAAGGCCCTATAATAAAATCTCTCTTTTATTAAAGTAATTTAAAAAAGGAAAAATCAATCCATAAATAGAATAAAAATTAGATTTTATATTAAAATTGAGTGAATGAGTAACTGATGAGATCTCAGATACTCTTATTAGCAAACACCTTTAACCCAAAGAATAAGTTTATTCTTAATAATCTTAGTTAATAATGATAATAATGAAAATAAGCAGAATATATTAACAGCCTAATGGGGAAAGCATATTTCCTGGATATCTGAATTGCTTTTGATTTATCATCCATGAAAAATTTCTTCTGGATAAGTATGCATGCATGTACTCTGTAAGAACGTGAACAATGCAAAAATGTGTGGCATAGAAAGTGAAAACCTCTAAATCCTAAATTTCATGTATAGTTATTGTTAACAAGAAAAATTCACACTAAAGCATTATATGTGTATGTGTTGTGGGTTGAAGTGGGTCCCCTAAAATTTTTACATTGAAGTCCTAACCCTGAGTAACTCAGAATGTAAGGTTATTTGAAAATAGAGTTGTCACAGACATAAGTGGTTAAGATGAAGTCTTTAGAGTAGGACCTAAGCCATTATGACTGGTGTTCTTATGAAAAGGGGAAATTTAGACAGACACATGTGCAAGGAGTACTCCATGTAAAGAGAAGACAGAGACCAGAGTGATGCTTTTAAACCAAGGAATGTCAAAGATTGCCAGCAAACTACCAGAATCTAGGTAACAGGCATCAAACTGATTCTTACAGCCCTCAGAAGAAAACAAACTTACTGACATCTTCATCTTGGATTTCTAGATTCCGGAACTGGAAGACAACAAATTTCTCTTGATTAAGACATCCAGTTTGTTAATGGCAACCCTAGAAAAATACATTGTATTGCCAATATTCCACCATTATTAATATTCTCCGATATTTATTTTACATTCCTATACATCTATCCATTTATTAATTCATCTTATTAGGATGCATGTCAAATAAAAGGATGGTATCTATACACCTCAACAATGAACACTTAAGTATATAATAAGCTGAAATGCAATATTAGGTTATGGGTTTTTAAAAAATTACTTATTCTTTGATAGAGATAATTGTACATGTTTATGAGATACATAGTGATGTTTCAATACATACAATATATAGTGAGATCAGATAAGGGTAATTAACATATCCATCATCTCAAACATTTATCATTTCTATGTGTTGCAAACATTCAATATCTTCTCTGGAGCAATTTGAAGATATATGTTATTGTTAGCTATAGTCATCCTACAGTGCTATAGAACACTAGAACATATTTCTCCTATCTAGCTATAATTTTGTATCCTTTAATAAATCTCTGCCTATTCCCCCCTTCCCTTTAATCTTCCCAGCTTCTAATAACCTTTGTTCTACTATTCCTTCTATGAGATCAACTTCTGCATATGAGCAAGAACATGTGGTATTTAACTTTCTGTTCTTCACTTATTTCACTTATGTCGTCCAGGCTCATTCGTGTTGTTGTAAATGCCAGGATTTCATTCTTTGTTAAGGCTAAATAGTATTCCATTGTGTGTACATTTCATATTTTCTTTATCCATTCATCTGTTGTTGGAAACTTTGGTTGATTCCATTTTCTGGCTATTGTGAATCATGCTGCAATAACCAGGAGGGTGAAGAATTCGCTTCAATACACAGATTTCCTTTTCTTTGGATAAATACTCAGCAGAGAGATTGCTGAATTATTAATACATGACAGTTCTATTTGTAGTTTTTTTGGGGAAACTTCATACCATTGTCCAAAATGGCTGTACCAGTTAACATCCCACCAACAGTGTATTAGATTTCAGTTGTCTCCCCATCATTGCCAGTACATTTGTTTGTTTGTTTGTTTTTTGGTCTTTTACATAGTAGCCATTCTAACTGGGATGAGGCGATATGATATTTCATTGTGGTTTTGATTCGCATTTTCCTGATGATTAGTGATATTGAGCATTTTTCACATATTTGTTGGCCATTTGTATGTCTTCTTTAGATAAATGTCTGCTGAGATTACTTGCCCTTTTTTTCTTTGCAAATGACATGATTTTGTTCTTTGATTATGGCCAAATAGTATTCCATTTGACCATTAAAAATGTGGTATACATACCATGTTTTCTTTGTCCATTTGTTTGTTAATGGACACTTGGGTTGATTTGTTTTTGTTTTTGTTTGTTTGTTTGTTTTTTGAGACAGAGTCTTGCTCTGTGGCCTCGGTTGGAGTGCAGTGGCATGATCTTGGCTCACTGCAACCTCTGCCTTCCAAGTTCAAGCAATTCTCGTGCCTCAGCCTCCTGAGTAGCTGGAACTACTAGCTGGAACTACAGGCATGTGCCACCATGCCCAGCTTTTTTTTTGTATTTTAGTAGAGATGGGTTTTCACCATGTTTCCCAGGCTGGTCTTGAACTCCTGATCTCCAGCAATCCGCCTGTCTCAGCCTCCCGAAGTGCTAGGACTACAGGCATGAGCCACCATATCCAACCAACTGGGTTGATTTCATATTGAGAATGGTGCTATTTACCCATTTTTTTTTAAATCAAATTGTTTATTTCTCTTGCTGTTGAAATGTTTGAGTTTCTAGTATATTCTGGAAATTAATTCCTTGTCAGATGAATAGTCTGAAAATATTTTCTCCCATTCTGTAGGTAATATTTTTACTCTGTTGATTATTTCCGTTTGCTGTGCAGAAGCTTTTAGTTTTATATAATCCTATTTTTGCTTTTATTGCTTGTGCTTTTGAAATCTTATTCATAAAACCTTCTCCCAGATCAGTGTCCTGAGGTATCTCCCCTGTGTTTTTTTCTAGTAGTTTTATAGTTTGGGGTTTTAAAATTAGGTCTTTAATCCATTTTGAGTTGATTTTTGTATAAGGTGAGAGGTGGGGGTCTAGTTTCCTTCCGCATATGGATATTTAGTTTTTTCAGCACCAATTATTGAAGAGGCTGTCCTTACCGTAGTGAATATTCTTGGTGCCTTTGTCAAAAATCAGTCAACTGTAGACATGTGGATTAATTTATGGGTTCTCTATTTAATTCCGTGGGTTTATGTGGCAGTTTTTATGTCAATACCATGCTGTTTTGGTTAGTATAAACTTGAAGAATATTTTGAGATCTAGTAGTGAGATGTTTCCAGCTTTGTTCTTTCTTTCTCAGGATTGCTTTAGCTACTGTAGGTCTTTTGTGGTTCCATATGAATTTTAGGATTTTTTTTCTATTTCTATGAAAAACTTCACTGGCATTTTGATAGGCATTTCATTGAATCTCTAGATCACTTTCAATAGTATGGTCATTTTAACATTAATTATTAATTTTTCCATTCAATTAATGTAATATGTCTTTGCAATTTTTCTGTCTTTTTCTATTTCTTTTTTCAATGTTTTGTAATTTTTCTTGCGGAGATTTTTCACCTCCTTGGTCAAATTTATTTCTAAGTATTTTACTGCTTTTTTTTGAAACTATTGTAAATGATTGCTTTCTTAATTTATTTTTCAGCCAGTTTGTTGTTCATGTATAGAAATGCTATTGATTTTTATAGGTTGATTTTGTATCCTGCAACATTACCAAATTTATTCATCACTTCTAAGAGTTTTTTGGTAGAGTCTTTAGGCTTTTTATATATCAGATCATTTCATCTACAAACAGGGATAATTTTATTTCCTCTTTTCCAGTTTGGATGCCCTTAGTTTCTTTCTTTTCCTTATTTGCTCTGGCTAGGGCTTCCAGTACTGTATCGAATAAGACTGGTGAGAATGGGCATGCTTGTCTTGGTCCATTTCTTAGGAAAAAAAAAGTTCAGCTTTCCCTTGTTCAGTATGATATTAGCTTTGTGTTTGTCATGTGTGGCCATTATTTTTTTTTGAAGTACATTCCTTTTATACATAATTTATTGAGATTTTTATTCATGAAGGGATGTTGAATATTTTTCAATGCTTTTTCTAAAACTCTTTATGTAATCATATGGTTTTAGTCCTTCATTATGTTGATAGGCTGTATCCTGTTTATTGATTTGAGTATGTTGAACATCCTTGTTACAAATTCCACTTGATTGTGGTGTATGATTGATATGGTTTGGATATTTGTCTCCTCCAAATCTCATGTTGAAGTGTGATTTCCACTGTTAGAGCTGGGGCCTAGTGGGAGGTGTTTGGGTCATGGGAGTAGATCCATCATGAATGTCTTGTTGCCCTCCTTGTGGTAATAAGTGAATTCTCACTCATAGCTCACATGAGATCTGGTTGTTTAAGAGAGTAGCAGGGGCACCTCCTCGACTCTGCTACTGCTTTCACTATGCGATACGCCTGCTCCACATCTCCTTCCATCATGATTGTAAGCTTCCTGAAGCCTTCATCAGAAGCAAATAGCAGCACCACACTTCTACACCACAGACTGCAGAATCATGAGCCTAAATAAACCTCTTTTCTTTGTAAACTACCCAGCCTCAAGTATTTCTTTATAGCAATGTAAATAGACTGATGCAGTGATCTTTTTAATGTGCTATTGGATTTGTTTTGCTCACGTGTTGCTGAGCACTTTTTACCTAAGTTCATCAGGAATATTGGACTATAGGGTTTTGTTTGTTTGTTTTGTTTGTTTTTCTCGTGTCCTTGTTTTTGCTACCAAGATTATGCTGGTCTTGTAGAATGAGTTTGGAAGAATTCCCTTCTCTTCAATTTTTTGAAATAGTTTGAGAATAATCATCAGTATTAGATCTTCAAAACTGCAGTGGAATTCAGCAGTGACTTCATCCCTTCCTGGACTTTTTCTTCTTGGGAGACATTACTGGTTCAAACGCATTACTTGTGATTGGTCTGTTCAAGTTTTCTACTTCTTTTGAGTTCCATCTTGATAGGTTGCATGTGTCTAGGAATTAATCCATTTCCTCCACCTTTTCAAATTTATTGGTGTATTGTTCATAATATTCTCTAATAATCCTTTGTATTTCTGTTGTATCAGTTGTGAGGTCTCCTTTTTGGTTTCTGATTTTATTTGTGTCTTCTCTCTTTTTTCCTTAGTCTAGCTAATGATTTGTTAATTTTCTTTTCAGAAAACCAACTTTTTGTTTCATTGGTCTTTTCTACTTTTTTGTGGTCCCAATTTTGGTTATTTCTGTCCTGATTTTTATGCTTTATTTCCTTCTACTAATTTTGGGTTTCATTTTTTTCTTGCTTTTCTAGTTCTTGAAATGCATCATGATGTCATTTATTTGAAATCTTTCTACTTTTTTGATGAATATATTTATTGCTATACACTTGCCTCTTAATACTGCTTCACTATGCCCAGTAGTGAAGCAATTGGCTAATACCTAATAGGCTTTTGTATGTTTCATTTCTATTTTAATTTGTTCCTTTCTTATTGAAGGGTACAAGCTCCAGATGCCTCTACCTGGCCATCTTGTGGCATCATTCTTTTGTGGATATTTTTTAGCTAGCTATTTTTTAGAAAACAAAATTACATGTAGGTAATTATACAAACTCCAGCACACAACTAGGTGAGCTTAAGCAAGTATAAACACCTGTGAAACTCAAATCTTTATCAAAATATGATACAATACCATTATTTCTGAGAATTTTATAATGCCATTTATGTGGGATTTTTAATGACCCTGATACCAGAGGCAATGACTTCTCTGATTTTTTTATACATTAGTTTTGCCAGTTAAAAAACTTTCATATAAATGAAATCAGTGTGTACTCTTTCATATAGAACTTGCTTTATTTAGCATACTGCTTCTGCAATTCATCTTTCTTTTTGTTATTAGCAATTGTCCCTTTCATTTATTAACAGTACCCTATTATATAAATATATCACATTTTATATATCACATATAAATATATCACATCATGTTTTCTTGTAGAAAGTTTATTTTTATTTTTATTTTAAAAATATGGTTTATCTCAAATTAAATTATGTGTATGATATTGGATAGTGGTTGAGTTACCTTTTTTTCCTTGCGGACATTTAGTTATAGCATCCTTGTGGTAAATATTTTCTTCTTACTGGATTGTTTTGGTAATGTTATTAAAAATAAAATAACTGAATAAATATTTCTTGTTGTTGTTTCCATGATCTATTAATGTATACTAGTCTTACTTCTGCACAGTCTTAATTATTGTAGCTTTAGATTAGCTCTAAAAGTGATGTGGTATAAGGCCTCAATCTTTGTTCTACTTATGAAAATTGCTTAAAATATTCTAGATACCTTTCATTTTCATATAGATTTTACAATTAGCCTGCCTTTATAAAAACATTGGGCTGAAATTATAATTGGAAGTGCATTAAATCTAAAAATTAATTTGGAAATATTGAAATTTATTCATATTGAATCTTTCAATGTACTTCTTTCATATCTCCAGTTTGTTTGGTTTTCTTTGATTTTTATCATCAAAGATCTTTCATTTTTTAAAATTAAACTGTTAATTTTGATATAACTGTAAATTTGCAAACAGTTGTGAAGAAAAATACAGAGATCTTGTGTGTCTTTTACCCAATTCTCCTCATAGTATATCTTGCAAAATTATAGTACAGTATCACAAATAAATACATTATTAGCGTTGATAGGGTCAGGATGCTGAACAGTTCCACCATGATGCGATCCCTCATGTAGCCCTTTTAAAACCACACTCACTTCCCTCCTATCCCAATTCCATGCCTTTATTCTGTGGCAATCACCAATTTGTTCTCCATTTCTATAATATTATCAGAATTTCTATAATACCATTATCATTATAAAATTATTTATAATTATATGTATGCAGAAGTAATCTCCATTTCTACATTATCATTTCTTAATATTTTCAGATAATAATATCTATAATATAATTTTATCTACATTATCAAATATATTAATTTCTATAATATCTTGAAATAATATCATAATTTCAAGAACATTATTTAAATGGAATTATGCAGTATGTAAACTTTGGGATTATCTTTATTTCACTTGAGATAATTCTGTGAGGATTCATCAGCCTTATTTACTTTTATTGCCAAACAGTATTTCATTGTATGTACACACCACAGTTTGTTAAATAATTTACCTACTGAAGGACATTTGAGTTGTTTCCAGCTTTTGACGGTTGTGAATGACTCTGCTACAAGCATTCATGTACAAGCTTTTGTGTTAGCATAATTTTATTATTTTACTATTTTTTGGAATAAGTGTCCATGAGCGAAACTGCTGACTTGTATGGTGGTTGTACATTTAGCTTTTTGAAAAATCACCAACCTGTTTTCCAGAAATGTTGCATCATTTTACACTGCAATATATATTCTAGACGTGAGTCCTTTGATAGATATGTGTCAGCAAATCATAGCTTGTTTTTGCACCTCTTGATGGGATCTTGAACAGAGCAAACAAATAATCTAAATTTTGATTAAGTACAGTTTAGCAATTTATTCCTTCATGAATCATACTTTTGGTATTCAGTCAAATAACTTTTTGCCATCCCATATATATCAAAGATTATCCCCTATGTTTGGAGATATGCAAGGAGACTATGGCTGCCTTCATCCAAACTATCTGAAGCTATGCAAAACTCCCTGGCCTTCCAGGAAGGTTTGCTTCTTTCTATTCCTATAATTTCTTCTGCCACTCTGAATGATCTCCCACAGTTTTACATTCTACATTTAAATCCAAGACCCATTTTGAGTTAATATTTGTATAATGTGTGGGCCTTTGACTAAAGTTAATTTTGTGCCTATGAATATCCCGTTGCTCCTGCAGTATTTGTTGAAAGGTTATCTTTTGTCCATTGAATTGCTTCTTCATTGTTCTCCACAATTAGTTTATATATTTGTATAGGTCTATTTCTGGGTTCTTTATTCTGTTTCATTGAGCTATGTATCTATCGCTCCAACAATACGACATATTCTTGATGGCTACAGCTAAACATGTTTTAAACTTGAGTAGACTAATTCTTCTCACCTTATTCTTGTTTTTCAAAATTATTTTAGTTTTACAAGTTCCTCTGTCTTTTCACATAAATTTTAGAGCAACATTGTCTACATGAATATAAATTTTGCTGGGATTTTGACAGGAATTGCATTGGACCTGTATATCAATTCGACTATTGACATATTTACTGTATTGAGTGTACTAATTCATAAACATTGCATCTGTTTCAGTTAATTTAGGTCATTTTTAATATCTTTGATCAAAATTTTCTAGTTTCCCTATACATGTCTCACACCTGTTTTGTTGGCTTTATACTCAAATGTTTTACTGTTTGTATGTAGAATTACGATCGATTGTTGTTCATTTACCTTGTAGCCTGTGACAATGCTAGGTTCTAGTTCTGGGTTTTGGAGATTTTTTCGTAGATTCTTTGGATTATCTACAGTGACAATCATTTTTTTCTGCATATAGGAAATGTTTTATGTCTTCATTTTTTATGACCTAAATCAGTATCTTTAAAAATGTCATTGAGATTTGATTGATTTCTTATTACATTTAGCAGAATTGATCATCAAAAGGCAGACATTTTGAAGGATAGGATATGTAATGGTTAACTAAATGGGTCAATTTGATTAGGCTATGCCCTGTAATTTGCTCAAACTCAGCTAAGATGTTGCTGTGAAGACATTTTGTAGGTGTGACTAGTCTACAATAATGTCTACAATAAGTTGACTTTAAGTAAAGTAGATTACCCTCAATAATGAGAGGAACTCATCCAACCAATGGAAGACCTTAAGAGCATAATCTCTTGTTTCCCAGGGCAAAGAAATTCTGCCTCCATATTTCAAAATAGAAATCCCTTCTGAGTTTCCAGCCTTCCAGCATTCCCTTCAGGTTTCAAACTTCAGACTACAACAAAGTCTTGTCTGAGTTTGCTGCTTGCTGGCTCACGCAAAAAATTCTGGACTCAAGACTGGAATATCAACACCTGCCTGAGTTTTCAGCTTGCTGGCCTGCCCTGTCCTGTATATTTCAAACTTGCCAGCCTTCATAATTTTGTGAGCCAAATGTTTAAAACAAATCATATTCATACATACGAATATATGGCTTATACATACACATATATGGGCTTATATATAATTCACGCAAATATACATTTATACATGTTTGTGTATGTATATCTATGTGTGGTAGGGTATTTATATGTATGTATATGTAATCACACTTCTCATAACAAAGTTTTGGTCAGTGATGGACTACATATATTATGGTGGTTTTACAATATCATAGTGGAGCTGAAAAATTCTTATTGCCTAATGATGCAGCTGTCATAAAGTCATAGTGCAATGTACATATTTTTTGTAATTCTGGTGTAAACTTATTGTGCTGTCTGTCAGTCATATAAAACTATAGCACATACAGTATTTGGTTTTCTATTCCTGTGTTAGTTTGCTAAGGATAATGGCCTCCAGCTCCATCCACATGTTCTCACTCATAAGTGGGAGCTAAATGGTGAGAACTAAAGAACACAGAGAAGGGAACAACAGACAAAGGAGCCTCCTTGAGGGTGGAGAGTGGAGGAGCATAAAAAATTACTATAGGGTACTAACTAGGTTTAGTACCTGGACAACAAAATAATGTGTACAACAATCCCATGTGACATAAATTTACCTATGTAACAAACCTGCACATGTACCTCCAACCTAAAATAAAAGTTAAAAAACTGTAGCACATATAATTATGTACAGTACATAATAATAATAAATGACTATGTTAGTGGTTTACGTATCTATTATACTATACTTTTTAATTGTTATTTTAGAGAGTACTCCACCTTATTTACAAAAGGTAAATATAAAACAACCTCAGGCAGGTTCTTCAGGAGGTGTTCCAGAAAAGAGCATTTTTATCATAAGAGATGGCAGCTCTATGCTTGTTATTCCCCTTGAATACTCCAATGGGACAAGATATGGAGGTGGAAGATATTGATTATCCTGACCTTGTGTAGGCCTAGGCTAATATGTGTGTTTTGTCTTGGTTCTTAACAAAAAAGTTTGAAAAGTAAAGAACAAAAGAATTCAAAATTTAAAAACAGAAAAAGTTTATAAAATGAGGATATAAAGAAAAAATATTTCTTACAACTGTACAATATGTTTGCGTCTTAAGCTAAGTTATTACAAAAGAGTCAAAAAGTTAAAAAAGCTTATAAAATAAAAAAGTTACAGTAAGCTGAGATTATTAATTATTGAACACAGAAAAATATCTTTTTATAAATTTCATGTAGCCTAAGTGTACAGTGTTTATAAAGTCTTCAGTAGTGTACAGTAACATCCCACGTCTTCATATTCACTCACCACTCACTCACTGACTCACCCAGAACAACTTGCTTTATTGCAAGCTTCATTCATGGTAAGTGCCCTACAGAGGTGTGGCATTTTTAATCTTTCATACTGCATTTTTACTGTACCCTTTCTATGTTTAGATATATTTTGATACATAAATACTTACCATTGTGATACAATCACCCACAGTATTAAGTACAGTAACATACCACACAGGTTTATAGCCTAGGAGCAATAGACAGCACCACATGGCCCAGGTATGTAGTAGGCTCTACCATGTAGGTTTATGTAGGTATACTCTATGATCACACAATGACAAAATCACCAAATGATGGATTTCTCGGAAAGAATCCCCATTGTTAAACCACTCATGACCATCTTTTAATGACTGTATTTTTTATTTGTAAATCATTGTAAGGAAGGAGGAAGTGAAACTGATGAGATATTGGCATCTTATTTGAACTTTTATAAACTTTTTATTCTTTAATAGTTGTCAGGAAAAGTTAGTGCACTGTGCTACAACACTACAATGACTATGACGTCACTAGGCAATAGGAATTTTTTAGCTCCATTTTAATTTTATGAGAGCTTCCTTGTACATTTGTTCTCTTGTTAACTGAAACCTCGTTTTGTGTGCATGAGTATAAAGGTAAGTAAGTGTGCATATGTATTTCTGCCCACAAGCAATATTTCCTTCCACTTCTGCCTTTCCATAGAGTGGTTGAGGAATTGTCAATTGCTTCACTAAGTACCGTTAATACGGCAAGATAGCAGTAATCAGTTCCACAGAAGTCATATCATTCTCACCCTGGGATTGTTAAGATCTGTAAGTCCTTTCACGTATGTATTTCCGTACTATAATTACCTTTTTCTCGAAGTCATAAAACATCTTTCTGTTCTCTGAAGGGCCCTAACAATCTAATTCCTTTGCTTGCTTGATTCCTAAGGACTCATGCATATGAGGCTGACTGACCACAGGATAAGAGAAAATCATGAGTTATAATGACAACTAATTCAGGCCTCAAGAAACTTTCTAAGAATTTCAGATAAATATGGCTGTTTAAGTACATGAATTCACTTGTATATTCTTTTACACTGACTTAAATAACAATAATTAAGAAAATTTTTTAAAAGGCATGAACACAGAGTGACAAATTGAATTAGAAAGTAACAGCAGTTACAATTACTTACAGCAGTAACAATTGAAAAGCTGCTTAATAGAAGGTCAAGTAATAAGCAATTTAGCAAACCTGTGGAAGCGAAATCTTCAGTCAATGCTAATGTCAATGAAAAGAGTCAAACTCTGTAAATATTTTAGGAGATTTATTCTGAGCAAAATATGAGTGACCATGGCCCATGACACAGCCCTTAGGAGGTCCTGAGAACATGTGCAAGGTGGTTGGGGCACAGATTGGTTTTATATAGCTCCAGGAGGCATGAGACGTCAATCATATACACTTAAGAAATCCATTGGTTTTGTTCAGAAAGGCAGGACAACTCAAAGCGGGGGCTTCCAGCTATAGGAAGATTTAAACATTTTCTGGTTGACAGTCAGTTGAGTTTGTCTAAAGACCGGGTATCCATAGAAAGGAATGTTCAGGTTAAAGATAAAGGATTGTGGAGACCAAGTTTTATTGTGCAGAGGAAGCTCTCAGATCGGAGACTTCAGAGAGAGCAGGTTGTAAATTGTTTCTTATCTCACTTAAAAGGGTGCCTGGCTCTTAGTTGATTATCTCCTAGATCTGGGAAGAGAGGAAGGAAAACAAATGGGAAAGGAGATTATCTATAGAATGTGGATTTTTCCCACAACAGACTTTGCAGGGCAATTTCAAGGTATAGTAAGGAAATACATTTTGGGGCTAAATATTTCTTTCCTTGTCTCGTAATGTTATGCCAGAGTCAGATTGAAAAGTAAGTCATAATATATAGGGTCAAATAAAACCCATCTGATGAGAATTTACAGTTTGTACGGCATGACTCCCTAGACCCCTTAGGTAGGAATTTGGGCAAGATAAAAAATCAGAGCTTAGTTTTAACTAAGGAAATGCACAAAGCAATCCACACTGCAGAACTAGCAAAAGACTAAAGAAATGGTATCTACAGGTAACTCTCAAGTCGAAACTCAGACTAAAATCCAGGTGATTTTCTAGACATTTTTGAATAAATAGGCCCCAGATTCCTTTCCGTCCTCTAGACAGATGTGCAGTTGCCCCCACTCGCTCTAGCAGATCAGAAGTTTATTGTCTTGTGGATATTTACCAGAGGGACTCTGGATTGAAAGAGATTGGGAGCAAGATCAGAACATATCTGTCTTTGAAATGTAGCCTACAGAAAAGGGAAGATGTAAAGATATTAATATCAGGTTCCCTCAAGGAAACAGCTTGGTTAAATTACATCAGAGTGAAGTCCAAGACTGGCTAGTCTCATATATGTTTTCATAGACTGAAACAGATTGTCATCCTCTTGCTCTTGAACATGAAACTAGGAATCTTGAACATGCAACTAGGAATCACCAGACAGAGTTGAAAACAATACAATAAATACAAAGCATCTGCAAGGAAACAGAGATTAAACAAGCAACTTCTAAAATAAAAAGTATCACTAATAATCTCATAAGGAAAAAAATCATTTCAGTAAACAAGACAGAATACAATTTTTAAAAACTTTTTGAGTAAAAGGAGTCTTGAGAATTAAAAATATTATGGCAAAAGTAAACAACTCACTAGAAAAGATAAAGTTAAACAAAGTAGAGAAAAGAGAACATACATGGGAAAACATAACAAAGAAAAAGATACGGCAATTAGCACATCGGGCCAGGAGATCTAATATCCAAATAATGTAAGTTTCTGTAAGATCTGATAGAGAAAACAAAAGTGAGAAAAACGACATAAAAAAAGCATCCAATACCTTTCCCAGAGCTAAAGAACATAGATTTTCATCTTGAAAGCTGCTGCTGATTGCCCAGAGCATTGGATGAAAATAGCCTCACTCCAAATTATATCGTGACATTTCAAAACACAACAGATAAAGAGAAAAACAAGCTTTCAGAAAGAAAAAAAAAACATACAACTGATATACATAGGGTTAGAAATTACGATGAGTTTGAAATTTCTCAGCATCACTTCTAGAAGTTAGAAATCAACAGAATAATGCCTGTGAAATTCTGAAGGAGTATAATTTCTAATTTAGAATTTGGTATCAATCAAATGAGAAATTAGAGTATTGATTTTTTTCTGAATGTATCAAAATGTTAAAGTTTTTCAGGAATCTACTCAATGATGTTTCTACCAAAATGAGAGAGTAGACCGAGCAAGATATGGGGTCCAAGAAACAGAATATTTAAAACAAAAATGGCTGCTGGGAACCCACAGGAATACAATGCAGAAAGATATTAGGATAACAGCTGTGCTCCAGAACTTGAGAGCAACCAACCAAAAATAAGTGAATACAGTGAATTTTTAATGACTCCGGTGCTATTATTAATATTAAGCTTCTTATAATAAACAATATCAATGCTCACTCCCAAAATTTGCAGGGTCTGCTCTAAGGCAATCACTTTAAACTCTCAATCTGATTCCTCTGGTATTTACTGAAGATCTCTATGTAACACGTTTTGAACCCTATATTTTGCTTTTCCATTTTGGACAATATCTATTAATTTTCCAGTATGCTAGATGGAGATTTAGTACTTTATCTCCTGTACTTCACACAACATCACAAGTTCATTCATTCTCTTCATATAGCTGAATCCTAATTTTGGTTACATAATATAAACACATCAAGTGATTATGTTATTATGTATGTAAATATTATTTACAACAGAGCTATACCTTATTCAATTAAATTTATTTTACAGAAGAATTATCTTTAAATTTTACCTGGCATTAATAATTGTTTTTTTTTTGGTTGCTTAACTTTTATGTACCATTCGTAACTCAACAACAGTCTGTCAATTGCTTAATTCTCCTATCGATAATTTCAGACATGTTAGGTATTTTTTTTAACTTCATTGACTTTAAATACTGAAGCATGGTACATGATGATTTTTTTAAATATTCAAGGTGGGGCCTGGTGGCTCACGCCTGTAATCCCAGCATTTTGGGAAATGAAGGCAGGGGGTATCACTTGAGTCCAGGATTTCAAGACCAGCCTGGCCAACATGGTGAAACCCCCATCTCTAGTAAAAATACAAAAATTAGCCGAGTATGGTGGCGGGCACCCGTAATCCCAGCTACTCAGTAGGCCGAGGCACAAGAATCACTTGAACCCTGGAGACGAAGGTTGCAGTGAGCCGAGACTGCACCATTGCACTCCAGCCTAGGTGACAGAGTGAGACTCTGTCTCAGAAAAAAAGAAAGAAAAAAAAATACATTGAAGACTGATACTAAAATTCCAAGTAATCAATAGCAAATGACTCTGAGTTGTAATTCATTGGTATTTTTAATGTTTTTATACTTTATATTTTGAAATAATTTTATACTGAAATAAAATTTTCCTGGTCCAAGATTTAATTTATTCATCACGTCTTCTTAGACTTCTCAAATCTGTGGCAGCACATTAGTTTTTTCTCCTTTTATATCCCTAACAACTTTTGAAGAGTACTGATCAATTATTTTATAGGATGCCCTCGGTTTGGGAGTGCCATCATATATACTTCTCCCTGGCAAAAAAATACTACTTTACAACCAGAAAAAATTTTAATTTTTATATTTTAATTATAATTGGACAAATTATAGTTGTATCTATGTATTGGGTAAAAGCAATGCAATGATTGAGGAATACAATGTGGAATAATTAAATCAATGTAATTAACATATTCACCACAGCAAATGCTTATCTTTTGTGGTGAGAACATTTGCAATTCACTCTCTTAGAGATTTTGAAATGCAAATATATATAATACATTTCAGTTCACTGTATTCATGAGGCTGTGCGGTATATCCCCCACCAAAAAAAGCAGTCCTCCTAATTGAAGCTTAGGAGCCTTTGACCGTGATCTTACCATTGCTCCCAAACCCTCAGCCTCTGATAACCATTATTCTACTCTCTGCTTCTTTGAATTCTATTGTTTTAGATTCCACTTATAAATGAGACCATATTTGTCTTTCTGTGCCTGGCTTATTTTACTTAGCATAATGTTCTGTAATTTCATTCATGTTACCGCAAATGATAAGTTTTTTTTTAACTTTTTAAGTCTAAGTAGTATTCTGTTGTGTGTATATATATATATATATATATATATATATATATATATATATATACACACTACACTTTTTTAATCCATTCCTCTGCTAATGAACGTTTCGGTTGCTTCTATATCTTGGTAATTGTGAATAGTGCTGCAGTGAACATGGGAGTGCAGATATCTCTTTGATACATTGATTTTAAAACTTTTGAGTAAATACCGAGAAATGGAATTCCTGGATCATATGGCAATTTTATTTTTAGTTTATTGAGGAGCCTCTATGTTGTTTTTCATAATGGATATACTAATTTACTTTCCTACCCACAGTATATGAGTTACCCTTTCTCTACATCCTTGACACCACTTGTTATCTATCTATCTATCTTTTAGATAATAACCATTCAAACAGGTGTGAAAGGGCTATCTATCTCCTTTGGATACTAAATTGTATTTCTGTAATAATTAGTGATATTGAACTTCTTTTCTTGTATCTTTTGGCCAATTTTATTTTTTTTTTTGAGAAATTTCTATTCAGAACTTCTACCCATTTTTAAATTTTTTTGGGCCTTATGTTTTTTGCTTGCTTTACATTGGATATTAACCCCTTATCAGATATATGGTTTGCAAATATTTTCTTCCAGTCCATAGGTCATCTCTTCACTTTGTTAATTATTTTTTCCTTTGTTGTTGAAAATAATATTTATTTTAAGGTCCATATTAAAATTGGAGGGTTATTCTAAGAATTTCAAAAGTATATGTTATAGATTTCTTTAGAAATTCAGGATTCAATCAAGAACACATACTGCATTTAGTTCTCATGTGTCTTTTTTTTTTTTTTTTTTTTTTGAGACATAGTCTTTCTCTGTCAACTAGGCTAGAACACAGTGGCATGATCACAACTTACTGCAGCCTTGACCTCCTGGGCTCAAGTGATCCTCCTGCCTCAGCCTTCTAAGTAGCTGGACCTATAGGTTCACACCACCATGCTCAGCTAATTTTATTTTATCTTATATTTTTAGAGACATGGTCTTGCTGTATTGCCCTCAAACTCCTGGCCTCAAGTGATCCTCCTGCCTCGGCTTCCCAAATTACAGGTATGAGCCACTGTGCCTGGTCTGTTATTATTTTCTAATTACTAAATTCAGGCTAAATATTTTTAGCAAAGTTCTGCATAGAGATACCCTGCCTTTCCAATGAATTACATCAAGAGACACAGAATGTATTCTGTATCAGTTTAATTCCATTATTTATAATGTTGTTTAATTGCTTGGTTAAGTTATTGTCTATCAGATTTCTCCATTATGAAATCATCTTTCTTCTATTTTAATTAGTAACTAATCTGTAGGGTAACTTCAAGAATCTGTGGGTATTTTTTTTCTTTGCCTGCATCATCAATTGCAAAGTGATTGTAAAATCATGATATTCATTCTATATTATTAGCTGGATTCTTTAGAAAAAATAACTCCTTTTAATATTATCACTGTGGAATTGTTTATTCTTGCATTTCTTAAGTATAGTAATTACTGTACTGGTTTTAAGCCTAAAATCCATAAAGATTTTTCTTATTTTTACAGAGTTGTATGGCACTTCAGTGTGTGAGTGTGCCATAATTTAGTCAATCAATCAATCAGTAGCTTCAGTACTGGTTTTAAGCTTAAAATCAGTACAGTCATTATCTCTTTTGATGTTCAAATTATCCCACATTCAGCTAGCAGTAATTCTTTCAAGTTAGTACCTGTGTTATTTTGATGTGTCTCCATGTTATGATTTCCCATATACATTCTTTTTTCCTGTACTGTTTTAAATTTTGTTTTCTATCTCTTCTAATGAGTTGTTTATTTTTGCTCTAAATATTTTCTTGTTTATAGACCTAACTTGACATTCCAGGATTACCTTGTATTTTCTACACAACCTGGAATCAGCCAACTCATAAAGGAGTCCTGGTCCCTTTTAGTAGAAAACGGTGTTCGTGTTCAAAACCCCATACACAGACATTACATAAGTCCATTGTGAATTAGCTATTATTGATTTGGATACCCATTTGGTATCAAAACTAAAAAAATAAATATAATCATTTAAAAATTATCAGTTTATATGGATTAAATTTTATCACTGCATTACTTCCTTGCTTCTCTCCAGTTTCCCTTTACAACAGTAAGAACATTGGTTTCCAACAATATCAATGCATTACTCATTATCACCATCTGACAATACACATCCTAATTAATTCCACATTTTGGCTATTGTGAATAATGCTTTAATAAACATGAAATTGCAGATATGTCTTTGAGATATTGATTTTATTTCCTTTGAATAGGTAGCCAGAAGTGGCATTGATGAATTATATAGCAGTTCAATTTTCAATTATTTCTATAATGTATATACTAATTTACATTCCCGCTAACAATGTACAAAGGTTATTTTTTCTCTATATCTTAAGCCAACACTTATTATTTTTCTTTTTGATTATAGCCATTGTATCAGGTGTGAAGTGATATCTCATTCCAGTTTTAACTTGTATTTTCTTTATAATTAGAGATGTTAAACATTTTTTCATGTGTTTGTTGGCTGATTGTATGTCTTCTTTTAGGAGATGTCTATTCAGGTGTTTTGCCCATTTTTAAATCAGAATGTTTTGTTTTTTTCTTTTGAGTTGCTTGAATTCCTTGCATATGTTGGATATTAACTTTTTATTAGATGTATGCTTTGCAAATGTATTCTCCCATTCTGTAAGTTGTCTCTTCATTTTGTTGATTGTCTTTGCTGTGCAGAAGCTTTTTATCTGATGCAATCCCATTTGTTTATCGTTGCTTTAGTTGCCTCTGCTTTTGGAGTCATATTGAAAAATCATTGTCTAGATCAATGTCGAGAAGCTTTTTCTCTGTGTTTTCTTTCAGGAGTTTTATAGTTTTGGGTCTTATGTGTCTTTCATTGATTTTTGAGTTTATTTATTTCTGTGTGTTGTATAATATAAAGATCCAATTTTATTCTTACACATGTGGATATCTAATTTTTCTGACACTATTCAAGAGACTGTCTTTTCCTCATTGTGTATTACTGAAAACTTTGTCAAAGATGAATTGACTGTAAATGCCGAATTTATTTCTGGGCTTTCTATTTTGTTTCATTAATCTATGTGGCTGTTTTTATGGTAGTGCCATTCTTTTTTACTATACCTTTGTCGTATATTTTGAAATCAGATACTTTGATACCTTCACCTTTGTTATTTTTACTAGAGTTTGCTTTGCTTTCGAGATCCTTGTTGGTTTCATAACAATTTTCGAATTTTTTTCTTCTATTTCTGGGAAAAATATCTTCAGATTGCTTTGGATACTATGGATATTTTAATAATATTACTTCTTCCAATTCTTGAACATGGAATATCTTTCATTTATTTGTGTCATCTTAAATTTTTTTAATCAATGTTACATACTTTCACATGTTTCGATATTTTTACCTCCTTGGTTAAATTTATCTGTAAAAGTATTTTTTTATGTGATTGTAAATAAGATTGTTTTCTTTATTGTTTCCTGGATGGGTGTTGCGGGGTGGGGGTTGGAAATCTGAGTCTACAATAGTGGACCTGTGTCCTGAATCCATGGGGGCTACCCTGGAACCTAGGGCTGTGGGCACTGACCTGGCACAGAGGCAGGCCTGGAACCTGAGGCTGTCAGGGCTAGCTTGGAGACTGTGTCTGAGAGGAATGGTTTGTTGCCAGGGTTCACTGAGGCAGAACTGGTCCTGGAGTCTGTAGCAAAGTTGAGTAATCAATCACTTCACCCCTCTTTCACAGTGCAGACAGTATCTCTCTCTGCAATAGGCTGTGGAGGTTTCGGGGAGCGGTGTCATGGTTAATGTAAAACTGCCCTTCTTACCCTCTTCAAAATATCTTTTCTTATTTCTGTGCCCCACCCTGGTGTTGTACATAAAAACACACACACATACAATGTTTAAAACACTATCATAATGTTTAATTGACAATAATTTGAGCTTTATGTTGATAGATTTTTAAAATAGAATTTGATAGCTTCATATACTATTATTTGATAGATTTGATAAAAAGAAAACATAGTTGTACTATTATTTGATAGATTTGATAAAAAGAAAACATAGTTGTCTATGCTTAAACTTATATTTCCACATTAATTTAAATGCTACCTGGGTCACTCTGGCTTCCTCTGAAGGCTTGATAGCTGTAGTAACTGACATGAGAAACTATCAAGTAGATACTGTGTTCCATTTTTCCATTATCTATCTTTCCAAATATGCTGACATCTTTTTTTCTCTTTTTGTTCCCTCCTGGTGAGTTGACAGTGATCAATACCCTTCATTTTACTTATATTAATTTTCAGTGCAAGTTTCTGTCACTGATAATTGAATCCCTTCATCAATATGACCATATATCTTGGATACTCTCAAGAGTTTACTATGGAGGGTACTTCAATTTTTAGTTTGAGTGTTGCAAAGTCAAGTTGCATAGCATCAGGTATTTTCGTGGATTTTGATCCACTGGTTTTCTAAGCAAGTGAGACGCCTTCTAAATAAAAGTATTTTCAGACACCAAATCAGTAAATCAGATAAAAGTTAGAAGTTTTGGTAAAAACCCTTAAATGTGCAAAGAAGTTATAGATTAACATATTATTCATTCATTATGACTTCCATCCAAAATATTATTAAAGTATTACATAGAACTCCTATGATTCTGCATAGCATAGACTGAATATATTCTTAATCTTCTGTTAAATTAACAAGATACTGATGTCCAGACATCTTAAGTGACTTACTTATACATTGTTACAGTGCTAATGACAGCGTTGGGACTAAAATCAAGCCCTTTCAATACCAGTGAAATAGACTGTCACTACCTACCACTCTTTTGTGGTATTTAATTTGGGAGGTATGTCAACAATGTACATTTACCAGTAAAAGCCATATAAATAGTTCTATATCATTATCCCATACAAAAATTATCATAATTTATAAATGGCTAATTGTTTTAGCAATTGCAGATTTCAAAGAGAAAATGAGTTTATAGGGATAAATGAAAAAATTCTTTTTTTTTTTTTTGAGACAGAGTCTCACTCTGTCACCCAGGTTAGAGTGCAGTGGCTCAATCTCAGCTCACTGCAACCTCCACCTCCCAGGTTCAAGCAGTTCTCATGCCTCAACCTCCCGAGTAGCTGGGACTATAGGCGCCTGCCACCATGCCTGGCTAATTTTTATATTTTTAGTAGAAATGGGGTTTTGCCATATTGGCCAGACTGGTCTCGAACTCCTGACCTCAGGTGATCTGCCCACCTCGGCCTCCCAAAGTGCTGGGATTACAGGTATGAGCCACTGTGCCCAGCCAAAAAAATTCTTAATTTGAGGAAAAACAAGCATTAAGGTAAGAAAAATAATTCATTAGGGTTTGGAATTATGACTCTATAA
This sequence comes from Homo sapiens, assembly GCF_000001405.40. Classification (NCBI taxonomy): domain Eukaryota; kingdom Metazoa; phylum Chordata; class Mammalia; order Primates; family Hominidae; genus Homo; species Homo sapiens. The sequence continues at coordinate 52,183,941 of NC_000002.12, read as the reverse complement.
TTACATAGCTAATGTAGCACTGCCTGATTTAAACACCTAGAGGATTAAAACTTAAATAACAACTAGGAATGAACTGTGTGCATTTCTAATTTAATGTATTAGTTTTGAATCATATTTATCTTTTTTATCTTTTAGGCTGGACTTCATGTGGTATAGCATTTCTTAAAAGTCTCAAAGAAGTCAACTCTGTAATATAAAGTCCTCATATGAATTGATTCTAAGTTGTAGTCAGCCACTAATAAACACACATGCTTACATTTTCTTCTTGACTCATTCTCCTTTCCTCTCGCTTTTGAATTCTAGGAATTGCATTCCTCAATAGAGTGGCAAAATATAGTCTTTTGCCTAAGGCTCTGCTTTTTGGGGGAACATCCATGACCGCGAGTTATAATCTAATCTATAGAAATGTAATAGCATAAATGAGACAATATAAATTTATTTCTGCCATCAGATAGGACTCATTCAACAACAAAGACTGTGATTTATTCTGGCATATGTAGATGAGTGAGTATGTATGAAATGGATGTAACTTCATAATTATTGTCTTCACATAAAATAGTTTTGAGCACTTACCACATGGAATGTAAATTATTTTAGAATTGTAAATGTAGAAGGGAAAATAACTTTATTGAGTGTCCACAATATGTCAAATATTGTGATAGATGTTTGCACATATGTGGCTACTTGCATTTCTGTCTAATAGATTCTTTGCGAATTGGAGGAATTAAGTAAATGGTTTCAGCTAACATAATTTGTGGTAGATTGTATGTTTCTCAAAATCCTTATTTTTCTCTCTTCTATTTTCCTTGATATGAGTAAATTGTACTTTCTAGACACGTTGACACCACATCTGGTCATTTGTCTTGATTAATCTAATCAAATGTGAGAGTCAGTAACAAGTGTTACTTATGAAGAAAAAGAGCCTGCAGAAGGTTTCCCATGCACAACTTCTCCCTTATGCAATATCTACATGGAACAAATTCACAGTTCACCCAGAACGAATGTATAGTGGGATCTAGAATTAAACCTTTGTTCTCGTGAGCCAGTAAGAGTTTTAGGCTGTTTTATTGCATTGTAACAACTATTCTGTTCTGTATTCAGTTACGAATTGTGGTACAAACATCCAAATGTTTAAGTTTTAAACCGAGAAGGATAGAATAAATGTCCTGTTCTCAAATGATATAGAATATTACTAGGGATACAGGACCACATATATAAACTGTAAAGAAAAGTATTGAGAAAACTATACAAAATCCTATATAAGAAAAACAGTTAACAGTTATTAAAAGATATTAGCGGAAAAGTGATTTTTTTAACCTGCACTTCCACTTTATTTTTTAATGTGTTATTATTTCTTCTTCTCTATATCCTGAACTTACAATATTTTTATACATTTATTTTATAAATAAGCCAGCACATTCTTCATTTGCATCTATTTTTTATTAACTAAATGCAGGTCTCACTATACTAATATTACATATATATATATACACACACACAAATATGAGTTAAAAGTACTGAACCATCCTTTTGACTTGAGACTCTAGATGGTTGTGCTTTTGCTATAACTTAAAATCTAGTTATGTATTGAAGAATCATATTTTTGGTTGCTAGAAAAAGAAAACTTCACTAAGTACAAATATAAAAGATTTGATGAAATTCAGGCCTCGCCAAAGCCAAGCAAAGGCAAGCTTGGACAAACAGCTGAAGTTGAGATTGTTCTCAGGCAAAAAGATCTTGGATATTCTATATTGTTTAATGATTGATAGTTTATAAAGATGATTGGTTATGTTAATTAGTTTGTGTTAATTAGATTGGTGAACTACAGGAAATAAGTTTTATTGTGATACTCTGAATTTGACAGTTTGGGACCTTCAGACAATCAATCACTTAGCTGTTAGACAAGATGGCCTGTCTTTGGAATCAAAGTCAAAGGAGCTAAAGTAAAACTGAATACATTACACACAAAATATTCTCACCTATAGAGTTCTTTACAGACCTGGATACCATTTCTAGGAAAACTTTAAATGGAGTGTAATATTACTGGAACCATTCGTTCAAAAGCTTTGGATATATTTTCCTAGAATGCTTTCTGCTATATAGTTTAGACTGGGAAAAAATAAAGGAAAACCAGCACATAATTAAAAAATGATTAGATTTTTTTACCCTTTTGATTATTATGGAATGTTACATTCTCTAAAATATGGGAGCTCTACAGAAGCATGGTCAAGATAGGAACTTACTTGCACTAGGATCCCAGAAAATAGACACTTTTTCAAGACGACAAAATGGGTTTGATAGAAGGACATAGGAGGAAAATAGTCAAATTCCAACAATAGTCTATTATAATTCTCTATAAGCTCTGTTTTTGCAACCTATGCACATTCAAGTTGACTCTGTTTATATATCCTAATACATTCATGATAACCTCTTGAGTGTTACCCTAATAATTCTCAGTTACTCATGTTAAAAGAAAAACTTCAGCAGAATTAAATTTAAAGGAGTTTAATTGAGGAATGAAAAAATTCTCAAATCAGGCATCCCCCAGGATCACAGCAGATTCAGAGAGACTCCAGGGATGCCTTGTGGTCAGAACAAATTTATAGACAAAAAAAGGGAAGTGGTGTACAGAAATCGGAAGTGAGGTACAGAAATAGATGGATTGGTTACAAGTTGGTGTTTGCCTTATTTGAACACAGTTTGAACATTTACTTACGAGTCTATTAGTGGTGAAGTATGGCTGTTGGGATTGTCCAAAACTCAGCTCTTGTTATATGTGTATGCTCCTAAGTTGGGTTTTCAATCTTGTCTGCCTATTAAGCTAGGTTACAGTTCATCTAGAAGGACTCACTCAAATATAGAAGTGCAAAGTCCTTCTCAGGCCATATTGAGTTTGCTTTAACAATTCCCCCCTTTTGGTCATGTTCTCAATTTTGAGAGATTGACCAAAACTTTGTCATTGATGTCACTATTACCATTGTAAACTTCAGGAGAAAAACAAAACCTGGTATGTTCTAGGATCTATGTGTTTTCTTAAAGTCTTAGTTTGATTATGTCACATTTAGCACTAGTGACTCTAATTTGGTGACTAGTGACTGTAATATATCCAAAGCTTTTGAACTAATCGTTCCAGTGATATTACACTCCATTTAAAAGGTTTCCTAGAAATGGTATCTAGGTCTGTAAAGAACTCTATAGGTGAGAATATTTTGTGTGTAATCTATTCAGTTTTACATTAGCTCCCTTGACTTTGATTCCAAAGATAGGCCATCTTGTCTAACAGCTAAGTGATTGTCTGAAGGTCCCAAACTGTCAAACTATGTCATATTTAGCACTAGTGACTCTACTTTGGCTTTGTTTGGTCTGCTGGGGTGTAGTGCAAAACAAGGGCCTCCCATAGTTGTGTTAAAAAAAAAAAATTCCCCTTTCTTTCTTTGTCAGATTCTTACTTAGATGAGAGTGTGACCAAAACTTAGGGCCTTATTGCCACTCTCAGTTATCATCACTTTGGGTTTCCAGTCTCAGCATGTCATTCATAGGTTACAGTGTCCTCATGGTCACACATTTCTTTGAGCTTTTGTCATTCCAGTTGAAGAGAGACCATTTGACATTCTAGAGATGGCTGCATGCAAACATTTAATACCTTTTAGTGAATACAGCGCACCGGAGCAACTACTATTATGGCAATCGGGAGAATAATACCAAGAGGTTGGAGTATGCTCTTTAACTAGGGTACCCATAAACCAAACCACCTAAAATCAAATAGATCAAAGAATGAGCTAAAGCCTCTACTCACTTAACTAAGTCGTCTTTTTGTTAATCCCTACAGCTGAATTTCTATAATACCCAATGTATTTCTCCATAGGCCACAAGTGCCAGCAGCTGCACAAATATTTCTCTGTTTATCTAATTCTACTATTTATCATAACTTTCACAAAATAATTTAAAGCCTGTTGTGTAACCATAGCCTTTATGGTAGAATCTGCTGGAGGGACTGTCATGAAGAATACATTTCTAATCATTGTCTCTTTTATTTCAAATCATGGAAAAAGAACCTAATACATGATGCCTTTCAGAAGAGTGAAGGCTTTCTGGCAATGCTCTCTTTAACCTGTGATGTGGGTTAAGAGGAGTGAACCAATTTTCTGTTTCTCACCATGTACAAGACTAGCTGCAAAATCCTTCACAAATAAAAGTATATCCCATAAGTGCACATAACAGACCCCCTTTTCAATTCTATTGTTCATAAAGTTATAACCAAGGGAAAAAAATATTCAAAGGTAAGAGTCTCATGATAGTAGAGACGTCTTGATCTGTTATTTTGGAAGAAGATGCCAAGGATGCCATCTTCTTCTAGGGAGAAACTTTCCTGGTTAGCTTTACCTTAAGGGTTCAAGTAGGTGTACAGTTACAAAGGTGTGGAGGGACCCTTCTCAGTTGTGAGATTATGAGCCTAGAATTCAAGTCCCAAAGTTTTGCTGTAGTGTGGATGGCAAGGATTGTCTTTCTCTGATGTTCTCAGAAGACCCAGTCTTTGGGTTGTATATTGTGAAGGGGTTGTCCTCAGTCAGTGAACCATAATCTTTCTTTACCTGGTGAAAATACACTGTAGCATAATAATCTACTGTTATAACATCAGCCCTCTTGCATGGGGAAGCTTTTATACAACCAGAAAACATGTATTGATAATGACAATTGAATGAGATCCATTTGTAAGTGTTTAAGTGGCCCATCAGGTAGCAAAATGTACTTGAAGCTTTGATTGTCTTCCCAGGAATATGGATTTAACAAACCAAACAAACATTGGTTATAAACTATTTTAGCAAGTTTAAGTCACCACACCAGTATGTATTTAATTTGGATCATTTTATCTTTTCTTTGATGAGTCATGCAATGCAGAACCTTTAAAACCAGAAGCTTTAAGGAGTCAGGAAGAACAAGGTGGCCATTCTGGTTCTCCGTGATTCCATGCTCAACATTGGACTTATGTCATTTTGCATAAAAATATTTCTAAAATTTATGTGCATAGCACTGATAACTAATGGGTTATCATAGTTAATTTGACTTAGACCATGGAGTTCATTCAAATTGCATATTTAAACAATTTTAGTATCAGCTGGTTTAACATGACAATCTGGTAAAGTATTTTCTTGGTATTCAGTTTGTTTTTGTTCTACTGAGATTCTCAGTTTTATTAACCAGACAGTCTTTTTATTAAAGTTTCTGGAATTATCACTCAGTCCAAATGATATGAATTTAAAGTTATTAGAAAATTGTATTCAAGAGTCCTTTTCAAGGTTCTTTCCATCCTTTCGTGAACCTCCTAAAAGACACCATATTCTAGGATTTTGTGTGCTTGTGAACTTTTGAGAAACTGCAACTGTGGAAACAACTTTAGTCATAGTGATAGACACAGTTGACAAGGCAATTTGGTTGTTTCAGTGATCTTTGGTACTTAACATAATATCCTTAATTATCATTGATAGTATTTACTCAGACATATTTAGAATTTTAGAAATCCCATACAATTTGGGAACATATATTAATATCATTCACTAAAATATAACCCTAAGATTAACATTATTTTAAATTTTGGTAGTTCTTCCCATGTAACTAAACATATCAAATAATCCTGTTTACTTCTCTTTTGAATACTTCAGGGGCCGTCTGTAGCATCTCAAAGTTACAGGTTAGAAAAGACAATTTTGAAGCTGAAATTTGATTTTGGGAAGCCTATCAAATAGGTTAAAGGTTTAAAACACTTGATATTATGAAATAGAATTCCAGATTACAGTAAGTCATTCATTTCACCAAAATGATGACTCAAAAATTTTTTAAAGGCAAAAACCTTTAGTTATTGATAGAGGGAAGACTTAGCTTTCCAAACAATCGATCTCTTGTCTTTTCAGTAATTTATTAAAAAGGCAAAAATCTTTCATTATCTTTTAATAAATATTACATGAAAATCTTCTTCAAGAGATAAAACCAAATTTCACCCTTGCATTAACGTTCTAGTAACATCAAGCCAATTTTTAATAAAACCTTATAGACAAATGTATCAGTCTTCATTGGTTTGACCATAAGGCTGAGATTCTCATAAACCTTTTATAACCCTTCACAGTTTTTGTGAAAGAGCAGATCAGTGCTCTAAAAAACCTGTTGTGCTTTTATTCCAATGTTCAATTTATTAAAAAAAATTAATACCCCTTTAACGTTAACCAATGTCCACACAGAATTTCTTTTTCCAAGATTAATTTTTTACACACCTTCCACAACTTGTTCAAACGTTTAGCTTTATCTTATTAATTTTAAACAATCTTCTACTTTTCTAAACCAGGCAAAAATATACATTCCCATGCATTCTTATAATCTTTTACTAAAACATATTTAACTTCCCTCACATACCTTCCATTTAAAACTGTGTTTTCAGTAGTCTCAATTATATGTTATAATGGTAACTCTTAGAAACTTTTAGTTTTGGTACATAAATATCCTTTCACAACTTAGACCATCTATAACATGCTTGGACTTTCTGACTTGACCTAAGCATCCCTCTTTTTAAACAACTGGTTATTTTACTTTACTTTAGAACAAGAATTTACCATACAAGATACTTTCTTATATAAAATCCCTTTTTTCTTTATAACCTGCTTTCCATAGGTAGGGGGCATAGCTAATTCCACATGTCCTCAGGCCTTATTTAAATCTTATTCTCCAAAATACATTAAACAATTTTTTAAAGTCAAAGAAGAAGTTTATGATCTTAAAGCACTGAGCAAACCTAATACCTGACCTGTGTAACTCAGACCAAATATTTTTATTTTGCCAATTATCTTTAAAGCTGTTTTTATTTCCCAAGTTACTAAAGTTACACGAACTAAGACATTAGTTTCTATTTTTTTTAAAAAATTTGATTTTAGCACTTACTTTTCTTTAAGCCAATTAATTAGAGCTCTTTTATATAAATATTACACACACAACACATATATTACTACAGACAGACAGACAAAAAGATCCAGTAGTTGTAAGATTTTTCATTTAACAGTTTCTAAGTTTCTTAATTGGATTACTGGCTTTAGCATGGAGCCCCTCAAGAAATGACTAGGAAAACATTCAGTTTCTAAAGCCTAATAAGCAGGCACAGCTGGAAGGCAAAACAGATTATGAGAGGGATCTATCCAGTTTTAATTCTTGGGGTTCCATGAGGAAAACAGAGGTGCTTTTTCTGTTGTTGTTGTTAGTTTGTTTTTTCAAAAATGGGGTCAATGGAGCCTTGTCTGTTTTCCCAAGGAGTCCCAGGCTATCAGAAGTTATTTTAGGGCCTCTCCTGTGTGCATTAAGAGTGGCAAGACAAAATGGAGAAAAATAATTCAGTCGACTGAGAAGAAAAAAACCTTTTTTTCCAGCAAAACAAGATCAATGGAGAGAAAAGACATAAAGGCCTTTTAAATGTACCTGTAGCTTGGATATCCACTTTTAATTAAGCTGAGTTTTAACTATAGCACTCCCTTTTTTAAAAAAAAAAAGTACTTTTAAATTTCTTATTACCCAATTTTAGCCACAGCCAATATATCTGGCTTTTAAACTTTACCAAAAGTTACCTCACAGGTGAAACCAACAAGCCTCAACTAAGGTTATGACTTAACCATGAGTGTATGAGGTATTTTCAAATAAGTGATCATCTGTTTTTACAAAATCTAGAATCTTTAAAGGCAGCTGAGAGAAGGGAAGATTTAAGAAGGGAAACTAGAAGTTGTTCATGGAGGGGAAGAGACCTTTACAAGTGATAAAAGTCACACAGGTATTAAACCAAAGGACTCATTCCCTAAGCCAAGATCGAACCCAGGCCGCCACTGTGAAAGGACAGAAGACTAGCTACTGAGCTACAGCACTGGGCAGTATCTGTTGCCCTTCCCAGAAGGAGTCTAGAGTAGTTATTTTTGAGGTTACAAAGGTTTTTACCTACTCAAGATAATTTTTAGAGCTAACTGTAACATGAGCCCTAAAATTCTTGTTCCCTGGAAAGCAGAGACAAAGAGAAATTACCACCACAGAGTTACAAGGTCAAGCTCCCAAGGACATAATACAAGATGGAGACCTCATTCAGGTTTTTTTTTTCATTTGAGGGACCTGCAGAAATTTGTTATGGACCAGCTAGCTGGGCTGTCTTGAGCAGCAGGCTTATGGGGTCGTAAACCCACGTTCTATCCTAAGGTACCCCCAACGCAGAAAAACAAATTCACAGCACAAAATACACCAGACTCACTACAGCTTAAGACTAGCCTCAGAATTCTTATCTTCCATTAATTAAAACTTTGCAGAGGATATAGTTATTTTTACCATTCATTCAACTGGTTTGAACAGAGAGAGAGAGACCAGAAGTCTGAGATTCTTACCCTTTTGCCGGCATAGCAGACTTCTGGGTTCTTTTCCCTGAGGTACCCTAGTAACCCTGCTCACCACACTATAGCCCTGGGGTCCAAGCCACAACTCAAAAGAAAATCTTTGCTTTTTTTTTAAATGCCTTTCCGTGCATTGTTGTCCATTTGGAATGTTCTACTGTAAGTTATCTTTATTAAGATTTCTGTAAGACTTTGCTGCTTCCAGGGCCTAGTGTATAAGCTGGCAGGAACTCAGTTTTTCAGAAATTAAGAATTGATTTTTACCTAAAATATTGGCTTTGCTCTCAGGTTCCCTTGATTAACTTAGCCTATGACTTTTTTTCCTACCTAAGCATGCAAGAAAAATAAAACAAAGAGGTAGAACACAAAAATCCCCATGACTTTCCAAAAGCCAAATTTTACAAACACTGCAATATTACAATTTACTACCAGTTTCTTTCTGACCCAGTCAGATGTAAGATGCCTCTGGATCCAAGCCAGTTAATTATTGAATCAAATCCCATCCTGGGCCCAGTCTAGTTTCTGTTGCAACTTCCAAACCCAGTCTGGAATAGAAATTTACCCAAATAAAGCTCAAAACAAGAGAGCTCAAAACACAAATCTGTAGAGCTCTGAAATCAGAGAGAGAACTTAATTATGATCCCCAGCTACTCAGAGACCAAAGGACACAGGTGGGTCCAGCAGGTATCTTGTTGTTCACTCAATGCTCCTGGGGGGTTCTAGACCATCTACTTCAGAACCCACTTCTGACACCATCTGTTAAAAGAAAAACTTTAGCCAAATTAAATTTAAAGGAGTTTAATTGAGCAATGAACAATTCACAAACTGGGCAGCCCCCAGAATATCATCAGATTCAGAGAGACTACAGAGATGCCTGTGGTCAGAACAAATTTATAGACAATAAAAGGTAAATGGCGTAGAGAAATCGAAAGTGAGATACAGAAAAAGCTGAATGGGTTACAGGTTGGTGTTTGGCTTATTTGAACACAGTTTGAACACTTACAAGTCTATGAGTGGTTGAAGTGTGGCCACTGGGATTGGCCAAGACTCAGCTATTGTTACAGGCACATAATCCTAAATTAGGTTTTCAATCTTGTCTGCCTATTAAGCTAGGTTACAGTTCATCCACCAGCACTCAAATATAGAAGTACGGAGTCCTTCTCAGGCCATATTTAGTTTGCTTTAACACTCACCTACCCCATTTCAGTGAGTGTAGAAATAGTAGCCATGTATACATTCACCATAGAGCTAACAGGAACTGATGAAATAATAGTTCAGATCTCCAAAGACTTAAACTTTGCAATAAATATTTTTATATTTAGTACTGTTTGATATCCATTTAAATTTGTCTCACATATAACAAACTTGAATGTTAAAAGTATATTTACAAAAATAGTTTCATTAATACTAGTCATATAATTCCCTGAGAAAGTTTGGGAAAAAATCCTGCTGAGCCTAAGTATTCAGAAGCCAAAGTTCCTTTAATGTATTTGCTCACACTCTAGATTAAATTTATCATATATAGACTGTAGAAGGGAAACTGACAGGACTATTCTTCTTCAGTTACAATTCTTTATTACCTTTCCTTAAAGATCAGCATCACTGTTTCTTGTGTTATTGAAGACATTAATCTAAAAATACCTGAAATGACCCTAACAATTGACTTGCTAGTGTGACAGTTTGCTCAGCTGACTGATCATGTTAATTAGATTGGTGAACTACAGAAAATACCCTCAGTTTTATTGTGATTCTCTGAATTTGACAGTTTGGGACCTCCAGACAATCAATTTGCTTTGGGACAATATGGGCTAACTTTGGAATCAAAGTCAAAGGAGCTCATTTAAAACTGAATAGATAGATTACAGAATAAAATACTCTCACCCATAAAGTTCTTTACAGACCTAGATACCATTCCTAGGAAAACTTTTTTTTTTTTTTTTTTTTTTTTTGAGACGGAGTCTCGCTCTGTCGCCCAGGCTGGAGTGCAGTGGCGGGATCTCGGCTCACTGCAAGCTCCGCCTCCCGGGTTCACGCCATTCTCCTGCCTCAGCCTCCCAAGTAGCTGGGACGACAGGCGCCCGCCACTACGCCCGGCTAATTTTTTTGTATTTTTAGTAGAGACGGGGTTTCACCGTTTTAGCCGGGATGGTCTCGATCTCCTGACCTCGTGATCCGCCCGCCTCGGCCTCCCAAAGTGCTGGGATTACAGGCGTGAGCCACCGCGCCCGGCCAGGAAAACTTTTAAATAGAGTGTAATATCACTGGAACATTTAGTTAAAAAGCTTTGGATATGTTTTTCTACAATGATCTCTCCTAGATAGTTTAGACTGGAAAAAAATTAAGGAAAACTAGCACATAAATACAAAATAAATGAGATTTTTAAATCCTTTTATTATGGAATGTCACATTCTCTAAAATATAATATGGGAACTCTAGAAGCACTTCTATTCTTACATGCTCTTAGTGCGTGTTTGTTTTTTGTATACAGTGATGGTTTAATAGAAAGAGTGCCTGATTGCCTTGAAAGGCGATTCAATTTGGAAAAACAAACAGGAAAAACCAGAAGCTTAATTACTGTAAGTCAGAACAGCAATGTTATAGTATAATATTAGTAATGTCAGGGAACTACCAAAGGGGAGTCATGTATCATCAGCGAGTGAAGGCACATGTAGTAGCATTTACGACTGATCTAAAGAGAAGCAAGATCGAATTTTTTGATGAGTCTGCCAATTTATATTTTAGTATTTTAAAAGATTCAAGCCTCCCAAAAGTGGACTTTTCATACATAATATGTTATAAAAGTGTCTTTAAAGGCACCATAATATGGTTTAACTCTATCCCCACCCAAATCTTGAATTTTAGCTCTTGTAATTCCCACGTGTCACAGGAGGAACCCGGTGGAAGGTAATTGAATTATGGGGGCAAGTCTTTCCCATACTGTTCTCATGATAGTTAATAAGTCTTACAAGATCTTATGGTTTTATAAAGGGGAGTTCCACTGCACGTGCTCTCTCTCTTGCTTGCCACCATGCAATATGTGACTTGGCTCCTCCTTTGCCTTCTGCCATGGTTGTGAGGCCTCACCAACCATGTGGAACTGTGAGTCAATTAAACTTCTTTCCTTTATAAATTACCCAGTCTCGGGTAAGTCTTTATTGGCAGCATGAGAACCGACTAATACACACCAACATCTCTGACCTACATCAAAAACTCTCCTAACTGATCTTCTCACTTCCACTTTGGTTGCAAGCAATGCACATTCTACAATTCATAAGTCAGGTAGCTCTTTAAAAAATGGCAACAAAATCATGACATTTTACTTCTTGCCCCTGACACTTTGAGTAAATGGAAACACTTTTTAAGATGTACATGGTCTATCTCCAGCCTTGTCCTTCACCTGCCTGGCACATTATTTCTTAGTTGTACCCATTTTGAACTTTCAGAGATTCCTAAAATGTCCCTAATCCCTTCTACTGTGTGAACTTTGCATACCTGCCCTCATACGCTAACTCCTATTCTTTAAATGTCAAGTTAAATTTACTTTCTTAGAGGGGCCTAATTTCCTAATCTTAAGTAGTTACCTCCTACTATTTTTCTCTCAATCACCATGTTCTCTTCTTTATAACATTTAACACAATTCAGAGTTGTGTGTATTAGGATACAAACATAGTTGCTATTAAAAAACAAGCAATAACAAAAACTTGACCCTGCCATTCAGTAGCTTGAAAGAGATAGAATTTGTTTTCTCACTCACAAAACAAACCAGAGGTAAATGATTTTGATCTGGAGCAGAGGCTCTGCAAACTTCCTTATGTAGTTTTTAATCTTGGAATTCAAGACAGTTTCATTTTTCACCAATATCCTGCTCTCAAACAAGGGGAAAATAAGTAGGTGGAAGCAAAGAGTTTAATACTGGAAGCTATAGCCACTATTTCTACTTGCATCCCATTGGCTAAAACTTAACTGTGTGGTCACAGCTAGCTGAGAGAAAGGTTGGGAAGAGCAGTCTAGCTTGGTGGCCACATGCCAAGATAACTCAAAGGTAAAGCAGAAGGTGAGAATAAACAGTGGAAGACAAATGGCAGCCTTGCTAAAGTTATTGTCTGTCTTTTCTACTAAATTGTAAGCTCCATTAAGGCAGAAATGTAACTCTTGTGTTTGTTTACATATTATCTAGTTCAGTGTGGACACACAGAAAGTGCCCAATAACATTGTTTAATTAAATAAATACTATGAACTCAGAATCTTTAAAGTAGCTTTTCATATGTTAACGGCCCATATAAATATCTGATATTACATAAATTTTGTATTTATGTATAAATTTTTGTCTTACTACTAAATTGTAAGCTGCAAAAGAACCTTTACCATTTTTTTCCAAGCTTTATTCCCAGTATATAGTGCACCATGGGCAATGAATAACTGCATGTTGAGTTTATAATGTAAAATGCAGTCAGTTCTGTATTTTATAAAAATTTTGGCAAGGTTAAGCAGCTGACAATTTCAGTTTTTCTATTATATGTCAATGTTTCTTAATTTTTTTCTCATTATCATCTCTCTTAAAGAATCTTTTTAGCTATTTTTCCTAACACTCCTCTATCCAACCCTTAATGAACTTGAGTTATTTATTGGGCAAGTATTTCATAAAGGTTTTCTGGTAGAAGGTCTGTTTTGAAGGAGAAACTTGTTTATAATATTTAGGTTTAGTATAGTTCAAAGTATTATAAAAAGGAACTGAGATATTGGAATAGCAGGAAGAAGCAGAAAGATACTGTAAAATTACAGTATGAACAAAATTATTTGCAGTTTCTTTCTTTTTTGTTTTTTTGAGACAGAGTCTTGTTCTGTAGCTCAGGCTGCAGTGCAGTGGCACAATCTTGGCTCACTGCAACCTCTGCCTCCAGGGTTCAAGCCATTCCCCTGCCTCAGCCTCCCAAGTAGCTGGGACTACAGGCATTTGACACCATGCCCAGCTAATTTTTTGTGTTTTTAGTACAGATGAGGTTTCACCATGTCGGCCAGGCTGGTCTTGAACTCCTGACCTCAAGTGATCCACCCACCTAGGCCTCCCAAAGTGCTGGAATTACATGTGTGAGCCACTGTGCCCAGACTATTTGCAGTTTCTTGATTAAAATTATTATTGTTGATGCAGAGTACAGTATTTATGATAAATTTATTAATAGATAGTATTCAGATCTAGAATTCTGTCCATTACCATATTATATGATTTAATAGAGAAACGTGTCATGTCAGTGAAATTGCATCTGACTGACCTGTATCTTATCTAATTATAAATCATTGTTTTTCCTAATTATACTTTAGGGCATATTATTCTTATTTTGGCACATTACTATAGTTAAATGTATAAACAATTTATACAGTTATATAGAATCCCAAAGTATGTAGTTATGCTCATTTAATGGAAATTTTTAGTTGCTTTAAATAAAAATTCAATGATTCATGATTTGTTTGATTTTGAAGATTTGTCTCTTGGTCAATAAAAGGGCTTTACATTTAATTTGGCTGAAGTTTTTCTTTCATCACAACATACAAAAAAAAAAAAAAGAAAATCATAGCATCCTCCAGAGACGAGTAACTCAGGTAGTATGTCTTGCTTATCTTCATTAACCAGCCCAAACTGACCTTAGTAATTTGCATATTATTGTCCAAGTTAATTTAACATAAAACCACAACAAGCTTGATTGCTTGCTTTCACAGGTCACACCTAACTAAAAGCAGTACAACAACATAGTTAGTTAGGCACAGACAGCAGAGCCAATGAAGAAAGGAGGAGAGGAGGAGGTAAAATAAACAAAAGTCAAAAGAAAATGCCTATGATGATGTGATTGAAAATAAAAAAGAAAGAGTAAGTCATTATAGTTACTGGAGTCATTAAGAAAAGGTAGAATGATAGTCCATATAATATCTTTAAAAGCACACAATCACATAAAGCAATATAAAATATTTTCATACAAAACTATGAAATCTAAAGGTGTTGGTTCTTAAGCCAATAAGCTTCAGGTATATGGAAAATTAATTTCGTAAAACAGCTTATTTATATATGATGCTAGATCAAAGATATTACCGTGTTTCCAATTCAAATTCCTACTCTGGCTCACTTCAAATTTGGAATTAAGTTTAAATGAAAAGTTTATAATGAATTCTTAAGAGAACAAAATTTCTATTTTCCATTGAAGCTTCTCTCTCTGACACCAAATATTATTTTTATAATTCTATCAGCTGAAGATGGATTGGGTTGATAAATAGTATGACAATGAATTTGCATTGGAGATTAGCATAAAAAGATAATAAAGATAAGGTAAATGTGTGGTTAGTACTTAGAAAAATTATGCCTTCCCAATTAATTCATTAATTAGTAGGGGTCAGGTAAGTGAATCCTTCCCACCAAACAGTTAAATATGGTACTAATTTATTCAGCAAAGTCCTACCAGCCTACAATCTTGGTGTATTTCTTAAAATACTAAGAGTGTAACTGAAATTTAGACAAACATGTAAAAAATTCTTACATGTCTCTAAATCTCTACACTTCAGGTTAGATTTTTATTTTTATTTGCTGCATTGGCCAATTTCAGAAGGAGCCACCCAGTTTCTGAGCAGCCTACGAGTATACAATTATTCTCTCATGTATTGCTCCTTGTAAATATTCAACACAGTACCCTCCACCCTTCACAGAGTTACTCCTCAAAGCTGTCATAAGAGAAAAGATTATTTTGAAGCATCCAGCATTTTCTTGTTACCTGCAAGTTTCGATATATTTTTTGGCATTTTATAGCAATAACCACCACCACCATCACTATGAAACCAAAAACTACCTAAAAATTAGAGTCATAAAAAATTTAAAAATTGTGAAAGTAACTTAGAAATGAGCTTCTCTATGCTTTGCAAAAAAATGTTAAGGTTCAGAGAAATGAAGCGATTTGTTCAAGATTATAAATCTTATAAATCTAATAATATCTAATAACAGTGAATGCTTAATAAGTATTTTCTGTAGGTTAAACTCCTTACATTAATTGTTCCATTTTATTATCTTAATGTTATAAAGTAAATTTATTGCTTTTCTTATTTTACAAATGAATCTGGTTGAAGAAAACAAATGTTTTTAAATGTAGAAGACTCTAGCACTGGAAATCAAGTTCACTGTTTTCTGGTACATTACTCTTTATCACATTTTAGCGCATGATTAATTACCTCTATAGTCAAACATGATAAAAGCTTAAATTGTATTTTTTTAACAGAGGTTTTAAACTTAATTTCCAGAGATTGGACAACGCAAAGCCTTCAGCTAGCAACTGTTACAGAATTGGAGTCACTGTAAATAACCCAGGAGCACATTTCAAGGTTAAAGATATTTGAAAAACCCTGAAATTATGATATGAGTACCCATCTATTTCCATATACATAAAGTCAGTTAACTCATATTTTATTGATTCTTAGATGCACTTTTTTCACTTTAGGAAATCAGTTTGCTCCCTATAATTGAAGTATTTATACTTAATACTGGTCAGGAGACAGATATTACAGTTACTACTGTAAGCACATGTGCAAACTTGATCATGTGGCACATGATATAGCAGAAAAACCAAAACACATCTTTTTCAGTTTTAAAACTATTTAAAGACACTTATAGAAAAATATGAATCTTGGTTGTTCTCCAAGTACCTTTCCTGACACTTACCTTAGGAGATTAAGAAAATATCAGCATCTAAATTTGCAGAATAGTGAAAGTGGCACAATGCAGAAAAGCTGTATTCAAAATGCCTCAGACAACACAGACTTTGATCCTGCATGAAAACTTTTAGACATTGCCAACTCTAAGAAAACAATTAATAATTAAGAAGCATTAAATCATGCATATTAAGAACTTAGAATCTCTTCAATTTATTATACTTATAATTTCCTTTTTATGTTTGCACAAAGATGATATATAATAAAACATCACTATATGAATATATCTATAAGAGATTTTACATATGTATCATGAAAATTTTAAGTAATTTGAAATCAATATTTTACAGTTTAGTTAACAGCTTTTCTTAATGACATATAGCATAATGAAGCTGTTTACAATGGATGTTGCCTTACAGATGTTAAAATATGTTAGTATATGACTTGATGATGATGACTTAGTGTTAAACTAAATTGGATAGAAGAGCAACACTTTTTAACACAGCAAAATAATTTTAAATTTCTGGATTGATAACAATAGAAGTGTATTTGGGAAATTTTGTGAGTGAAAAGAGGAACATGGATAAATCTTACAAACACAACGCTGAGCAAAATATGCTGAACACAAAAGCATGCTTGCTATATTATTCCATGTGTATGCTATTAAAAGTAGGACCAATATATCCTTTTTGTGGGAGGAAAGAAAAGGATAAAATTGGGAAGGATTATAAGGAGATGTCTAGTTTCTGACGATCTCCTATATTTGATCTGGGATTGGCAGCTATGTGGGTATTTGCTTTGTGATAATTCACAGAGCTGTTTTTTTATGTTTTGTGTGCTTTCTGTATATGTATTATACATCCTAAGGCAAAAGTGAAAACATTTGAATATTATAGTACTCATGAAACAGAAAGAAAGTAGAGTCCAAATGGCCATTAAAATTTATCCTGCAAAATCTAGCACGATACTCCACATTAGAGATAGTGAAGCTGAGAACTAACATAAGTAATCAGCAATAGAGATGGATCCTTTGAATCTGGAATGCCTATATGCAGTTAAATAAGCAGCATTTACTTATGCACAAGACATAAAGCACTTGGGTCATACGGCAAGGAAATCAGCAAAATTTGCTGAGACAGAAGTTATACATTACTGGCCCCCAAATTTCCCCTACACGTGAGTAATTGTATATATGATAATATTTGGCAGGGTGAAAATCACATTGCATTTCTGTATGTATATACAGATCTATCTATCGATCTCTCTCTCTCTCTAAATATATATAATATATATGGTAGATATATATCATATTCATATTATATATACCATATCATATGTATATTTTATATATATGTAAATATAGTGTGTGTGTATATATATATAAAATTCCACAAGCCAAGCCTAAAGCATATGATACACACACAGCCAAAGTATTTGTGTATGCACGTTTATCAAAATATGTGCTGAAGACCACCTCAAGTGGTTTTCCTCCACATTGTATAATGCCCAATATATAATGTTCAATATATATGAAAGTAATAATACATAAAATATGTGTATGTCATCACATAATTATAGTTTCTAATTTTATTAGTAATTTTTTTCTAATTTTTTCTATTTTATTTTTTTGAGACAGGGCTTTGATT
The DNA here is from genome assembly GCF_000001405.40 of Homo sapiens. NCBI lineage: Eukaryota > Metazoa > Chordata > Mammalia > Primates > Hominidae > Homo > Homo sapiens. The sequence goes on along the minus strand of NC_000002.12, from coordinate 52,166,210 downwards.
TCTCACCCAGGCTGGAATGCAGTGGTATCATCACAGCTCACTGCAGCCTTGAACTCCTCCACTTAAGTGACTCTCTCACCTCAGCCCTCCAAGTAGAGTAGCTGGGACTATAGTTGTGTGCTACCATACCAAGCTAGTTTTCAAAATTTAATTCATGCCTTTCTTATTTACTTATTAAATGATGTAAGATACATTATAATTTTTAATTGTTTATATACATTTAACATTTTTATACCTAGTAAATCTTCCTGATTAATTTGCTCTGTGCTGCTTTGACAGTGACCAGAATTTACTCTCCAAATATATATATATATAAATAAATAAATAAATAAATATATATATATATATATATATATATATATATATATATATATATATATATATATATAAAACCATTATTCTGGAAGTCTTGTCAATGGGTAATATCTCTGTGAATTATTCATTTGTAATTACAATATTTCAAAATTAAAGCATCACACAAAAATCGTGTGGATATAAGGTGAGTTTTTCTTGTTTTGTGTTGTTTTGTATTCTGAGTAGTTAAAAGCTAGGACTGGCTTTAGTCTGGTTAATACACAAAAAACTAAAGCTTTTAGAAAACAGTGTTTTGCCTTTTACTTCTGCCAATGCGGAATTAACTGCTATGAGGATTGGCTTCCTGCTGCATGAAATTAGAAAACCGGACGAATGTTTTCAGATAATAGACAATAGGCAATGTTGGAAAGAAACAAATGAGAAAATTGCCATAATTTTCTGAGCTTACTGCATTCTTTCTTTCTGGCTGCAGAGTGAGGAGGGGAAGTCCAAATGGAGCTGAGCAGTCTAAGTTGAAAAGATAGATATTAGAGCTTATAGAGTTGAAGACGTCTAGAATTTGTGGGCCAGAGTGTCAGAGAGAAGCTAGTTTCATATAGAAAGTATTGAGACTTTCAGTGAGTAGTAGAACTAATTTATCCCCAAAGCAAATGCTGCTCTGGAATTGGTTTAAAAAAACTTTCAGTTAAGACTTGGAAAGATCAAATTTATTCACAAGTAAAATAACTGCATGCATAAGCAAGTCCAACATTCTTTGAAGTAATACAACAAAATCCAGTGTGCAGCAGTGTAAATCACAATGTCTTATATTTAATAAAAATTACCAACCAAAAAAAGGAGCAAGAAAATATGAGATGTAACTGTGTGGGGTTGTGGGGGGTGGAAGGGGGATAAATCAACTAAGAAAGACACTCAAATGAAAGAATTAGTAAACAATATCCTTAAAACAGCTGTTGTAAATTGTGAATATTTTCAGAATGCAAAGGAAACTGAGATCATCATAAAGGAAGAAGGGAATATTTTTAAAAAGACACAAATGAAAATTTTGGAGATATGATGTACAATATCTGAAATGAAAAATAATCTGATGGAATTAACAACAGATTCCACAGTGTAGAATAAACATTACCCCTAAGACATAGGAATATAAGCTATTAAAAATGAGCCAAAGAAAGGGAAATGACTGGAAAAAATTAATTATACATTACTGGCCCCCAAATTTCCCCTACACATGAGTAATTGTATACAATATTTGGCAGAGTGACAATCACATCATTGTATTTCTGTATATATATAGATCTATCTATATGTCTAATTTATTTCTCTCTCTCTACATATATATGTAATATATATGGTATATATTATGAATTATATATTATGAACATTCATAGCCTGTGGGACTACATTCAGCGATCTACCATGGGGTGGTGGGTGTTGTGGCGGGCTTGTACTTGAAAAAGGAATGGTTGAAATTTTCCAAATTTGATAAAATATTTAAAACCATATATCCAAAATGTTAAATAAATCACAAGTAAAATAAGCATAAAAGGCACAAATTGCTAAAAACTAGTGATCAAAGAGAAAATCTTAAAAGCAGTCAGGGAGAGGAAACATTACTTATAAAGAATAAAGTTAAAGCATAGTTTTCCTTAGAAACTATGCAAAACAGAAGATAATAAAACAATGTCTTCAAAATCCTGAAAGAAGAAAGAATATATTCAGCCTAGAATCATATAACCAGTGTATTTCCTTTCCTCAAAGACAAGACTCTTTCAAAGAATTAGAAGCTAAAATAATCCTTTGCCTTTAGACCTTTACATCAAGAAATGATAGAGAAATGTTTTCAGAAAAAAGGAATAATACCAGAGGGAAATTTATGTTTACACAAAGGAATGAATAATATCAGCAGTGGTAAAGATGTGTTTATAGATAGAACATAATTATTCTCATGTGTTTAATCTCTATAAAATATAATTACTTGACATCCTGAAACCATATTGTTTCTACATGTATCTTATAACCATTAGATCTTTAATTATGTAATTTGATCACTTTCAGATTCTGTTCACTTAAGCGACTGTCCTTATGTTTATGTGCAATGTATGGTTATACATCTCAGATAAGCTCTTGCCACCTCCTTTCTGTGGAATCTAGCAGTGAAGGATCGTGAAATCATTCTGTTTGATTCATATACCTAGTAGTAGCTTAATATCCCTTTATATGATTTGTTTTTCTATTTTATTTCATTTTTCTTCCTGCTTTTGCTTTTTTTAGTTGGGGGAAGATAAAAATAAATAATTTGGTATCATTTTCATTGGTGTCCTAATGCGGACACGAACAAAATAAAATGAAACACTATTTAACATCCTAGTTATCCTAATCCAATATAAAATATATATGAATTGCTACATTAGTAATATATGAATTGCTACATCAGTAGTACTTTTTATCAGTAATAAAAGGCCTAGAGTTTTTTTTCCTATTAAGATGTTTCTGAAATGGATACAAATTGCTACTTCGGTAATATCAGTTCATCATTGCCTATCCAGATTAATCTACTGTAATATATACAAATTCCATGAATTGTGTTGCTTTTGACATGGTTTGGTTTATTTGGATTAAGGCCAGAGCCTTGCTTTCATGTCTATTGAAGTGAGAACTGAAATGGCTACAAAGATTACAAAAAGATAACTTTCTTGCTCTGAACTGTCCTTAAGGGTAAAATGTCAAAATATGAGCACCTTATGCAGCAACTCAATATTTCCTTCTAGACCCTTATGCTTCACTTCAAATTGTTCTCCTATGGTAGCCACTCTAAGTCAGACCCTTGTACTGAAACAGGAGACAATTTGATACTCTCATCTGCTTCCACATTACAAAGGACAGGTGTTGGTCTAACATTATTAAATTAAAAGCAACTCCCAAATCATTTTCAAGTGTTAAAGATATATAAAATTAATGTGGAAATTCTTCTTCTCTAGAAAAGATGAATGTCTATATATCAGTCTTCTCCCATTTAAATTACTTGGCATCATTTTCTGAAGTCTACTTTACTGACCTTGGAAAAGATTGATCTAAGCCCTGGTCCCAGTAAAGAGGTTCTGTTAAAAATGTCAAAAAGTTAATTCAATGTATTCATTCTCACTTTGGCATTTCTGACTTAATCTTTTAGGATACATTTAGATGGCAACAAAGCCTTGCAACCATACTCCCTATACCTGAAAAGCCAGACAAACATTCCTTGTCACCCACCTTTTATATAAAAATGACTTCAATTATCCTTTCTGATTTTTAATCAAAATGCTATTTTTCAGATGAGACAGGTTATGAAACCCTTTTCATACATTATATCTGGCTTATGTCATTCCTGCTTTGAAATGTTGATTCCTTAATCTGTTGATATGTAAATCAGACATTTGTTCCAGAGTTTCCATTCTTCAATCTCAGCCTCTGTCAACGTCTCTTAGATGAGTAGCCAAAACAAAAACTAAAAAATGTGTTAATGCCATTTATGACCTACCTAAAACCTCATGGTGCTGAGGATTTATGCCCAAAATAGTAGCATGCCTGCTAATTTGGTGAAGTTTTCTGTAACCTCTGTAAGATTTCTCCATTTTTGAAAAGCAGACATTGAAAGTCCCAGACTTTTTTCCTATTAAGATATTCATGAAATGGATATATTTAACAAGACATATACCTCTGTGATCAGCTTGCTTATACAGGCCACTCACCAATTTCACACTACGTGTCTGTGGGTGAATAAGATTAGGGAGTTTTTCATTTTTGTATGAGCTGGAAGCCAAAATAAGGTAATACACTGAATTAACCTAGTGTTTCTTACTTCTATGAGAATATTTACCTTGGTTAGATGCGTGTTTACAATCTTTAAGACAGAGCCCTTCTCAGTTCAAAGGGCACTACAATAAGTAAACAAGACTCGTTTCCATGTCTGTAAATTTAAAGATTCATACAGTGATGGCATTTTACCAAGAAAAGGTGCAGATGGCAAATAAATATGTCAAAAAGTGCTGAACATCGTTAGTCAATAGAAAAGTGCCAGTTAAAACAATAATGAGATACCACTTTACACCCACCAGAATGGCTAAAATTGAAAATACTAACCATAGTAGGTACTGGTGAGGATATGATATAACTAGTGGAACTCTGATACATTGCCAGTAGAATGTATGGAAAATGGTATAGCCAATTGGAAAATAGTTTAGCAGTTTCTGATAAAGTTAAAGATACAATTAAGGTATTTATCCAAGAGAAATGAAATATTTGTTCATACAAAGAATTGTATGCAATAGTTGAAGGAGGTTTAAACAATTATCCCAACCTAGAAACAAATTAATGATCATTAAAACAATAATGGATAAAGAAGAAAATAGTGTATCTATACAATGAAATTCTTACTATTTGGCAATAAAATGGAATAACCTATTATATGCACTAACGTGAATGCATCTAAGAAATATTGTACTAAGATAAAACAGCCAGAAATTAAGATTTATTCTGTATGAATGAGATTATACAAAATTCTGTGTGCCAAGAATATACACTGGGGAAAAGACAATTTCTTCAATAAATGGTGCTGGGTAAACTGGATATAGACACGCAGAAGAAAGAAACTAGAACCTTGTCTCTCATCATATACAAAAGTCAAATCAAAATGGATTAAAGAATTAAATTTAAGACTTCAAACTATGAAACTACTACAGTAATACTTTGGGGGAAACACTCCAGAACATTGGTCTAGGCAAAGATTTCTTGAGTAATACCTTAAAGCAAAGGCAACCAAAGAAAAAATGGACATATGAGATCATAACAAGTGAAAACTTTGAAGCACAGCAAAAAAAATCAACAAAGTTAAGAGAAAACCTATAGAATAGTAGTATTTGCAAACTATTCACCTGACAAGAGATGAATAAGCAGAATATATAAGGAGCTCAAACAGCTGTATAGAAAAAAATCTAATAAAACAATTAAAAATGTGCAAAAGATCTGAATAAAGATTCCTCAAAAAAAGACATGGCAAAGAGATATATGAAAAGGTGCTCAACATCACTGACCGTCAGAGAAATGCCAATCAAAACTATAATGAGGTATCATCCCTCCCCAGTTAAAATGGCTTATATCCAAAAGACAGGCAATAACAAATGCTGGCGAGGATGTGGAGAAAAGGGAACCCTTGTATACTGTTGGTGGGAATGTAAATTAGTACAATCACTATTGAGAACAGTTGGATGTTCCTCAAAAAACTGAAAATACAGCTACCATGTGATCCAGCAATCTTACTGGTAGGTATATACCCAAAAGAAAGAAAATCAGTGTATCAAAGAGGTATCTCCATTCCCATATTCCCACTGTTCACTATAGCCAAGATTTGGAAGGAACTTCAGTGTCCATCAACAGATGGATGGATAAAGGAGATGTGGTATGTATACACAATGTAAGACTATTCAACCACAACAAAAGAATGAGATTCCATTCTTTACAATGACATGGATGGAACTGGAGATCTTTTTATGTTAAGTGAAATAAGCCAGGCACAGAAAGGCAAATATCACATGTTTTCACTTATCTGTGGGAACTAAAAATCAAAACAATTGAACCCATGCATATAGAGAGGAGAAGGACAGTCAACAGACGCTGGAAAGGGTAGGGGAGAAGTATGGGTGATTAATGGTTACAAAAAAATAAAACGAATGAGTAAGGCCTAAGATTTGATAACACAACAGGGTGATTATAGTCAATGATAATTTACTTGTACATTTTAAAATAACTAAGAGCCAGTCAGGCATGTGGTTCATTCCTGTAATCGCAGCACTTTGGGAGGCTGAGGCAGGCAGATCACCTGAGGTCAAGAGTTTGAGACCAGCCAGGCCAACATGGCGAAACCCCGTCTCTACTAAAAATACAAAAATTAGCCGGGCATGGTGGCACGCACCTGTAATCCCAGCTACTCGGGAGGCTGAGGCAGGAGAATCGGTTGAATCCGAGAGGCAGAGGTGGCAGTGAGCCAAGATGGCACCATTGCTCTCTAGCCTGGGCAACAAGAGTGAAACTCTGTCTCAAAAATAAAAATAATAATAATAAAATAAATAAATAAATAAGATAAAATAACTAAGAGTATATTTGGATTGTTTGTAACACACAGGATAAATCCTTCAGGGGATGGGTACCCCATCTTCCATGATGTGATTATTACACATTGCATGTCTGTATCAAAATATCTCATATACCCCTTAAATATATACATTTATTGTGTACCCACAAAAATTAAAAATAAACAATTTAAACACAGAAAAAAGAAAAAGACATTCTGGAAAAGGCAAATCTGTGTGATAATAAAAAGTGTATCAGTAGTTGCTAGGGACCAAGGGGAGGAGAAATGACTAATAACAAGTGATTGACTTTCTGCATGATGGGAATATCCTATATCTTGTATGTGATAGTAGTTACACATCTGTGTATATTTGTTAAACTTATTAAATTACATATTGAAAAATGAAGAATGTTATTGTATATAAATTACATTTCAATCAAACTGACTTCCTACTCATCCTCCCCCACCTAAAATGTATTTTTTAAAATCATAGTCCTCATACATTATTTCTGGAAATAAATTGTCTAGAGATTTAGTCAGACTAGGGAAGCATCTGTGTCTTGCCTGTGGATTTAGAGATATGTTCAGATCCAGCCTTATTCATTTTTCATGTTCCCGAGTGTATAATTTACATATTTATATTTAATTGGTAAAATTTTTTAGCTTCTCCTTTATTAGTAGGAATTCTCTCTCTCTCTCTCTCTCTCTCTCTCTCTCTTTCTCTTTCTCTCGCTCTTGTTCTCTTTCTCCTTCTTGACATAGTATTTTACTGGAATCTTTCTTTTCAGTTATTTAACAGCTCTCTTTGGTGAGTTCAGTGCTGACCAGTACCCCAAAGCAATGCAGTCGCTAATATTTGCTGACCATTTCTTTAGTAAAAGGCAAAAGATTTATACAATCTGAAAAAGAACTAGAATTAGATGATATTTAGTAAGCATTTCTTAGCCACCAGTCACTTTTCAACTCTTTAAATGTATAAATTAGTTGTTGCTCATAACAAACTCAGTGACTATATTATCCTCATTTTATGCATGAGGAAACTAAAGCACAAAGAGGAAAATAACTTTCCCATGATCTCAGAGCCAATAAATGGTAAAGCTGAGATAATTGTCATTCATAAGGCAAGTAGTGAGATATATTAGTCAATTGTGTCCCATACTGCAAATGCCAATCTTCTTCTGGATCATGCCAGAAAACCAAAACAACAGAGCTCTCTTCAGCCAACACCCTTATCTCACAAAAATATAGAAATTAAACTTTTCTGTAGTATTTTCTGGCTGATACAATTATTTATCAGCCAACATAGGGACATCATGTTTAATAACATCTTCTCTAATTAAGAATGCACTCTTCCTTAAAAATTGTTTTATACAATAGTAAATCGATGTAATTAATTTTAGCTGTAGTAATTTTACAGTAATTTTTTATTACATTAGGACAAAAAGCAGGGGCATTAACATATTGTGGGAAATCATGGCAAAAATATATTTCATTTCTTCTTATATAAAACAATTTATTTATGGATATAAATATTGCGGGAAAAAGTGAATGGAAAAGAAAGTATTAGTGAGAGAGTAGCTTGTGCAACTTCCCTCCACCTTACTGAATTTCTTCTCCCATAGTGACTGTGACAATGATGCAATTAGAAAATGACTTTCTTGAGCATTGAGAGTCACCAAGTCCTATCAGTTGTTGATTTTACAGGACAGACAGGCCTATTATATGAAGAGTTTGAAGGTATCTATACACCTGCATGCATCATTTCTTTAATGAAAAAATCCAATATCCTCTTGTTCTCCAGGGAGTCAGAGCTATTTGAATTTTATCACAGTTCTCTACTTCAGTAACTCTAGAGGTTCCCAGTTAGCAGGTTCAATTAGAACTTGGTTAAGTGTGTATTTTGCTGTACCTTAGTCACTTGAGCAGTAATGGCTGGGTTTCCTGTTCCTAATATTTATACCACTGATGCATTCTGACCTGAGAATAAATATCATATCTCACAAAACATATATAACATTACCAATATTTATATTGCCACAACTTCTTTCCCCTTTTATAAATGTCTGCTCTTATTCTGCCAAAAATATTATGGAATATTTTTGTTAAAGCATCTAAGAAATAATGCAAATTGAGCCTCAATATTTAAACTAAAAGAAACAAAAACAAACAAACACTCAAAAGGATCCATTGCTTACCACCGTGAGCCATTATAGTATGAAATCAGCAGATGGCTTCAAATCTCTCCTAGGAGGTTTTGTGAGATGACATGCCCTGCCACCAGTTGCTATTTTTACCCCTCTTCCAGGATTTTTTTCCCTATACAAGAAGTTTGAACATCTACTCTCTACTGTGATTTCTGTTTCCAAGTCTTTGCTCTTGCTCTCTTTAATTATCAAAATTAGGTAAAATGGTACCAATGAGCCTTTGTTAAACCAGCAATCTTTACAGTCAGAGAATACTCTCATTCCTCTAATCAATGGTAAGGCAGCATCAGCTCACTGCGGAATTGCTCATCATTAGTTTGCTTCTTTATTTCATAGGGAATATAGTCACCAAAGGTATATTTACCTAGTTTTAACTGATCGCTTCTTCCTCCAAGTCTTACTGTAATATTTTTCCTAAATTTTCTAATGCTTCATTTACTGTATCAGGTTCACATGCAAAACATTTTCCCAAAACCAAACCTTGAAATGATGAATTGAGTACCTATTTATTTGAAAGGTGAACTCAGGAGGCACATATTGGATTATGGGATAAGGGTTATTGAGTGTGGTAGAGGCTTGCCAGATAAAATACAAGGCACCCAGGTAAATTTAAATTTTAAATAAACAGCAAATACTTTTTTTTACATATAAGTACATGCCAAATTTTGCAAGAGACATATTAACCTAAAAATTATTTACTGCATGTCTAAAATTCAATTTTAAGTGGACACCCTGTATTTTTATTTACTTAATCTGGCAATTCTAGTGTAGTGCCACCAGAAGCAAGTAAGAATCAACCTTGAGAAACCATATGGAACATGTGTAAAAATCCTTTCCTCAGAGGACACAAATACTGACTCCCTTTTCTATTATGTTTAAGCTGGCTCTGATTACATAACTCTGTGTTCCCTTTCCCACTTCCTGACTTTATTCAGAGCCATGTCTGTCTGCCTCAGCAAGCTCCTGGGTGTGGTGGTTGAGAAAACCCTTGTAGAGAAGAGATACCTGTGGGCTTGAGGGGGGAAGTCCATCTCTGGTCATAGAGTCATTGCTCTGTGACTACAGCTCCCACCAGGAAACCTTTCCCTGTGGCTCTAACTCCCAGTGAGCTCCAGCTTCACTATTTCTTCCCTCGGCTTCGTCACCCCAAATGTTGGCAATTACTTTCAACACATTTTTGTCCCTAGGTTTCTCAATATCATTTGTCCTTTTAACTCCACATCTCCCTTTAAGAAGTCACTTATAAAAGTATTTTTATTTGAACCATATGTGGCAAATTTTATTTCCTTCTAAGACCTTGAATGATAGCCTAAGAAAGTCTTATGCATTTTTTCTGAATACACATGCCTAAGTTATACCCTCCAACATTTGTCATCAATAATAAAGGCGATTTTTAAAAACTAACGTTTGTCTGTATCTTTTTTTTTTTTTTTTTTTTTTTTTTTTTGAGACGGAGTCTCGCTCTGTCGCCCAGGCTGGAGTGCAGTGGCGGGATCTCGGCTCACTGCAAGCTCTGCCTCCCGGGTTCACGCCATTCTCCTGCCTCAGCCTCCCAAGTAGCTGGGACTACAGGCGCCCGCCACTACGCCCGGCTAATTTTTTTGTATTTTTAGTAGAGACGGGGTTTCACCGTTTTAGCCGGGATGGTCTCGATCTCCTGACCTCGTGATCCGCCCGCCTCGGCCTCCCAAAGTGCTGGGATTACAGGCGTGAGCCACCGCGCCCGGCCCGTTTGTCTGTATCTTGTGTCTATCTTTAAATTAATTTAGAAAGTAAGTTGAAAAGAGAAAAGCATTAGGTACTGTATTATGTATTCCCAAACATTGAACTTAGGAAACAAAACCGAGGGAAAAAGGATTTTTGATATGCATAAAACACACTTATTCAGGCCTTAGGCATTAGCAATTAGGAACTACACTGATTTTTTTACTTTAATAGTATTCACTGACTTTTGTATTGTGCCAAGAGGTTTATTTTCACTTCTGTTGTTGGCTTTTAACTGCCACAGCAAAAGCAGAAGTTGTGAGTCTTTATAATTTATATATATAAATTATACATGTATATAATACATACATATATATTATATACATATATAAATATATTTAATTGTAGTATAATTAAATTATTTATAAACTATATACTTATAAATAAATGTATAAATATATATTTTATACAAATTAATCCACTTGCTCTTGACAATTGTATTAGAAAAGAAGGAGAAACATAGAAGTATGATTGTTTTATTGTTATTGGAAAAATTAAAATAGAACACAAAAGTGATTGGAGCCAAAAAAATTCTGACAGAAGAAAAAATATTTTCAAAGGGCTGAGAAGCCAGCATATACAAACAAAAAACTAAAAAACTGTTATTCGTGGTGGCTTTTATTCCAATTTAAAATGATTTTAATTAGAAATAGAAAGGATTAATCTGTTGTATTTTCATTTTTAAATTAATAAACTTTGTTGGAGTGGTTTCATTTGTTTGTTTTGTTGGAGTATTTTTATGTTTATAGAAAAACTCAGTGGAAAATTCAGAGTTCCCATATCCTCCACTCTTTTTTCCCCTAACCTACACCCACAACACTCCAGTTTCCTCTGTTATTAACATCTGACGTTATTGTGATGCATTTGCTACAATTGATAAGCCAAATTGATACATTATTAAATACCTCTATAACATACTAGGATTCACTCCTTTTGGACATTCTACTCATTTTGCCTAATGTGTAATGACATGTACCGCCATTACAGGATTATGCAGAATAGTTTATCTGTCCTAAAAATCTGCTGTGTTCCATTATTTTATCTTCCCTCCATCCTTCAAACTCCTGACAACCATTGGTTGTCTTAATTTTGTCTTTTTCAGAATGTCATACAGTCGGACAGTATGGTAAAAATCCTTTTCAGATAGGCTTCTTTTGCTTAGCAATGTGTATTTAAGTCTCCTCAACATCTTTTTGTAATTAATAACTCATTTTTTAATCACAGAATGATATCTTACTGTACAAATGTACAACAGTTTGCTGTTCTATTTGCCTATTAAAGGACATCTTGCATGCTTCCAAGTTTTGGCAATTATAAATAGAGCTTCTATAAACATTTATTTGCAGTTTTTTTGTGCAGACATAAATTTTGTATTCATTTGGGTAAATACCTAAAAGTGAGATGCTTGATTGTAGAAAACACTGGCTTCAAAAATTGTACATATGATAATGTATTTGATAATGTTTTATATCAGTATTTTTTTCCTGTAAGACATGACATGAGTTTTCTGAGACAGGCAGAGATTTACTATCATTTATTTACAGCAAGAGGCACACTCGTTCCCCACACTCCAATTTTGCCTTTCTCGGGGAAACACAATGAGAATCAGATAAGATCCCACATATATATATATACACACATACACTAGAGTCTATACCACATATATATACACACACTATATATATATATATATATGCACACACTATATATATATGCACACTATATATATATATACACACAATATATATATACACACTATATACACACTATATATACACTATATATACATATGTATATATATATACACACTAGAGTCTATACTACAGGTGAAGAACACTGATGGTTATACAGGACAACTAATGCAACAGTCATACTTCCCTCTTGAGAGAGGGAGAGAAACATATCTTCCTAAGATAAAAAAATTACCCCTTAGGATAAAAAAGGAAAATATCCAGGATTCTTATCCTTTCAAATATAAAATCACTATTTCCAGGGGAAAAATAAGTCTAGCCTCTCTGAATTTATGACTCCTGGAATACCTTCACAGCTCCAATTTTTTTCTCTGAAAAGTAAACATATCCCACTGAGCAGGTGTATTTCTTCTGATGGTCTAATTACTATTAACTTCAAATTCTCATAAGCCCAGATTCCAGTTTTCTATCCTCAGAAAGTCCTATCCATGTAGAAACGTTAAAATGTTTCCTTCCTGACACTATTCTATTTTTAAACTGGAATTTCTTCTAGAATGTATCATTCATTTAGATCCATGGTCCTTTGACCAGCAGCACCAGCTTCACCTGAACACTTGTTAGAAGCACCAGTGCTGAGGTTTTACCCTCACCTTCTGAATCAGAAACTCTCCAGGTTAGACCAAGCAATGCTTTATGAAAAGCCCTCCAAGTGAGTTTGATGTACATTCAAGTTTGATAGCCATTGCTTTAGATAAATAGTTAATAATATTAATATGGGGGATTGACTTTCTTTTCCTTCAATTTTTTTACTATGGTAAAATACACAAAATATAAAATTTCCATCTTAAGTATTTGTAGTGCACAATTCAGTGGCATTAAATACCTTTGTATTGTACAATTATCACCATGATTCATCTTCAAAACTGTTTTCTTCTTGTAAAACTGGAATTCTATACCCCAGAAATAACAACTCCTCATTTCTCCTTCCCACCAGCCTCAGGAAACCATAATTCTACTTTGTCTCTCTGATTTTGACTACTCTAAATACCTAATGTAAGTAGAATTATACAGTATTTGTCTTTTTGTGACTGGCTTAATTCACTTAGCATAATATCCTCAAGATTCATCCACTTTGGTGAATAATGTCAGAATTTCCTTCCTTTTTAAGGCTGAATAATATTCCAGTGTTTTTATATTGAACATTTATTTTACTTATTCACTTACGCATGCATAAACGCTTGGTTTGCTTCCATCTTTTACCTATTGTGAAAAATGCTGCTTTAACAGACTGTACAAATATCTCTTTGAAACCTTGATTTTAATTCTTTGGGTGTATACCCAGAAATAACATTTTTGGATAATATGGTATTTCTATTTTTATTTTATTTTTGAGGAACCACCACACTGTTTTCAGAGTGGATGTACCATTTTACATTTCCACCAACACTTCACGAGAGTTTGAATTTTTCCACAGCCTCACCAACATTTGTTATTTTCTATTTTTTTTAATAGTGGCCATCATAATGGGGGTGAGGTGGTAGCTCATTGTAGTTTTGATTTGCATTTACCTAATGATTAGTGGTGTTGAGTACCTTTTCATGCACTTAGTTGTTTGAATATCTTCTATGGAAGAAATGTCTGTTCAAGTCCTTCGACCATTTTTGAATCAGATTGTATTTTGTGTCTCCATATATTCTGGATATTAATCCCTATCAGGTATATAATTTACAAATAATTTCTCCCATTCAGTGGGTTGGTTTTTAGTGTTTTGATAGTGTCTTTTGATGCAGAAGTTTTCAAAATTTGTATAAAGTCCAATTTGTTAATTTTTTTCTTTTCTTGCATATGCCTTTGTTGTCATATCAAAGAAATCAGTGCCATACCCAAGGTTGTAAAGCTTTGTCCTCTGTTTTCTTCTAAGAGTTTTATAATGTTAGGTTTACATTTATACTTTTGATCTTTTTTTTTTTTAATATCCAGTTTTCTCAGCACCATTTGTTGAAAAGACTCTTCTTTTCCCACTGTATGATCTTGGCACCCTTGTTGAAAATCTCTTGACCATACGTATGAGGGTTTATTTTGGGACTCTCTATGGAGGTATGTATGTCTGCTTTTATGCCGGTACCCCACTCTTTTTATTACTGTAGACTTTTAGGAAGTTTGAAATCAGGAAATGTGAGATCTTCAGCTTTGTTCTTTTTGCTCCAAAAAGAACTTTGTGAAAAAGAGTTCAGGATACCTTGAGATTTCATAACATTTTAGTATTTTTGTTCCAACTTCTGCAAATGACATCATTGGGATTTTTATAGGGATCATATTGAATTTTAGATCATCTTGGGTAGCACTGACATCTTACAATATTTTCTTCTACTTCATGAATGTGAAAGTCTTTCCATTACGTCTTCTTCAATTTCTTTCAGCAATGTTTTGTAATTTTTAGTGTAGGAGTTTTCCAATTCCTTGCTTAATTCCTAAGTATTTTATTCTTTTTGATACTATTGTAAATGGGATTGCTTTCTTAATTTCTTTCATTCTTAGTGTATTAAAATGTAACTATTATGTGTTGACTTTGTAGCCTCCTGCTTTGATGATTTTATTTTAAAAGTCCATATTTTAAACATGACAACTAGTTTGATATATTTTCCTTGCAATTATGTAAGTGCTACCAAAATATAAAACACATAGTCCTTGATTGGTATGACAAGTAAAGACAGACATGAAATAACTGGGCAGGACACCAAAATAATCTGTTTATAATTGCATGGTAAAGGCAAAATATTTACAGTGGATATTATAGAGAAGATGACATTTGAGCTAGACGAGGGAGATAAACTAAGTGAAATTCTTAGAATTATAAGTTAAATTTTATAGGGAAACATATTATGACTTCCTATTAAATACTGATCTATTTTGACCAATACCTCTATTTCCCTGAGGACAGGATAAGAGGATACCACATGTCATACAGATAAATTGATATGATTTGACTGTGTCCTCACCCAGAACTGTAGTTCCCATAATCCCCATGTGTCATGGGAATGACCCAGTGGGAGGTCATTGACTCATGGGGTTGGTTACCTCCATGCTGTTCTCATGATAGCAAGTCGGTTCTCATAAGATCTGGTGGTTTTATAAGGGGCTTTCCCCCACTTTGCTCTGCACTTCTCCTTGCTGCTGCTATGTGTTTGCTTCATCTTCTGCCATGATTGGAAGTTTCCTGATGCTTCCCAGCCCTATAGAACTGTGAGTCAATTAAGCCTCTTTCCTTTATAAATTACCCAGTCTTGGATATGTCTTTATTAACAGCATGAGAACAGACTAATACATAAAGTAAAACTTAATGCAGTTAATTTATGCAGAATGAGGAGTCTATAATCTAGAAGTTGGGAAAGGAATATATAGAATTATCTCTTCTGAAGATTTTTAAAATTAATATATACTTGTGTCTAAGATGTTTTAGATAAAGCCTTAAGTTCATTATAAATATAATTTATGCTTTTATAACATTGTGTTGATGATTCTTCAGCAGTGAAGAATTTACTGCCAAGAATGGCATTGATAAATGAAATATTTAACCATTTAATACATGCATCACACTCTAGCTTACACATCCATAGGTGTAAATTTTATGTAATGGCAGAAAGACCCTGTTATCGAACCGTAAATTGAAGTTGCTTCATTACATACAATATTTGAAGTTCAAGTTGATATAATTTGCAGTGTTCTTTATCCTACTTTTTTTTTTTTTTGAATTTGCTCCATAATGATCATTATCCATTCTTATTTCAGGTACTTAAGGAAATATAACTTATTTCAAACGATAATGAGCCATCATATATATTAGCATCTGTCTAGTCTATATTATTTAGGAAATTGTGAAGATGAAGTTTAAAACTCTATTAGCAGTGTCCTGGAACACAAAATTTCTAAATTGAAAAACAAAAGCCTTGCAAATATTTCCTACGTTAATATTTCCTCTGTAAAATATAATTTAATGATTATATACAGAAGAAGATATTTAATTATCCCTTAGAATAATTTATGTCTCTACCTACGTTGAGATATTTTGGCCTACTCTTTAGGTTTAGTAAATACAGGGAGAAAGATTACTCACTAAATTGTCCACAAAACAAATTATCTATTAATTATATCATATTATGCTGTTTCCTGTCTATATGGAGGTATTTTGACAAACCAAGTAAGAGTTGTATTTCATAGTACCTATAGATACATTTAAATTGATAGTCTGCTCTACTGGCAGCAATTCATTTTAAAATCCATTATAAAAGAAAGCTCTGACCAGGAAAGCTGTCAGGAATATAGATAATTTAACTATGTAGGGGCAGAAAGCTCAGAACTCGAAGAGTTTGTGCTTTAGTTTCTATGTCAGTGTCTTAGCTCAGACTGCTACAACAGAATACCACAGAATGGGTGGCTTAAAAAGTTGAAATGAATTTCTCACAGTTCTGGAGGCTAGAAAAGCCAAGACAAAAGCCCTGACAGATCAAGTGTCTGGTGGGGACATGCTTCCTCTTTTTCAAATGGATGTCTTCTTGCTGTATCCTCACATGGCAGAGAAAAGAAAGAGAAAGCTATCTTATTTCATCTAATAAGGGTGCTAATCCCATTCATGATAGATCTACCTCACAATCTAATTACTTCTCAAAAGCCCCACTTTCTAATACCATCACAGTGGTGGTTAGTATTTCAATATGTGAATATTTGGGGGACACAAATTTCACTCCTTAACACTCACATAGAGCTTAAAATAATTAAAGAGCTGTACAGATTATAATAAAACAGAGCTGAGGCCGGCCAAGCACAGAAACGATAGGAATTTGTTCATACATGTGTTTACGTTTTTAAACATCACAGTCAAGTAAGATTTTTGTTTTTTTGTTTTTGTTTGTTTGCATTTGCAAGACAAAATGAACCTTAAGTTTTAAAATGAGTAGGAATAATCTATGTCATTTTCTGTGCCCTCAGTAGACAGCTCAAAGATTGGATCTATGTTTGCATCATTTGCTGTGTGTAAACTCAGGAAAGTATGGATTTTCATTACTTTATTAGTAAGAAATTTGCCTGCAGTCAACAGGATGAGCTGTTCGACAGTTGCCTTGATGGATCACTCATAATAATTACTTAGTGCTTGACAGTTACTAAATATTATAGAGTCTATTTATTTTTAATTATTATCAGGAATGAGGTTAATTGGCTTCGAAATCACAATTTTTTTAGGCTACAGAGTGGTGTGCAGGCATTGTCAAAGTAACCAGAATTTTACTATCGTGTTAAAAGCAAAAGGTTCAGCTGGGTGCGGTGGCTAACACCTGTAATCCCAGCACTTTGGTAGGCCAGGGCAAGTGGATCACCTGAGGTCGGGTGTTCGAGACCAGCCTGGCCAACATGGTGAAACCTCGTCTCTACAAAAATACAAAAAAAAATCAGCCGGGCATGATGGTGGATGCCTGTAATCCCAGCTACTCAGGAGGCTGAGGCAGGAGAATTGCCTGAACCCGGGAGTCGGAGGTTGGAGTGAGCTGAGATCACACCATTGTACTCCAGCCTGGGCGACAGAGTGAGACTGGATAAATACCATGAAGTTATTTCAAATCTACTTCTCTTGGGCATTTTGAACTAAGCCATGTTACGTTGTTAAGGTGCATCATGTCTATGAATCTAATGATCAAATTCAGAGGTCAGCAACTTTTTCTGTGAAAACCAAATCATGACTACCTTAAGCTTTGAAGGTCATAGAATCTCTGATTTTTGATATTTCTGTGGAGAGACAACCTCTTGGAGCTATTTATTCTGCTGTTTTTGCAGAAATCATCCAATGGACAAGGTCCAATTTTGAGTCACATGGGCTCAGCGGAGAACCCCTAGATGGCTAACAAAGCAGTCCACATCAAGCTCTTCTGCTGCATACCAATGTGAGACAGTTATTTCAAAGGAACAATAACAAAAATAAAAAAAAATAAAAATCTATATAATTATTTAAGTTGTAAGCAATTGAATTAAATGTTCTTTTAGAACATTATTTAAATTGAAAGAATGACATACACAAATTATGGCTATTCAGTATTGGGTATTTGATCGACATTATTTCAGAAATGAATAATGTGAACACTTTACTTAAAAATGGCTAATGATCACCACACTGTCTTCCACACTGGTTGAACTAATTTACACTCCCACCAACAGGGTAAAAGCGTTCCTATTTCTCCATATCCTCTCTAGCATCTGTTGTTTCCTGACTTCCTCAAGGATCTAGAATCAGAAATACCATTTGACCCAGCAATCCCATTACCCAAAGAATTATAATCATTCTACTATAAAGATACATGCACATGTATGTTTATTGCAGCACTGTTCACAATAGCAAAGACTTGGAACCAACCCAAATGACCATCAATAGTAGACTGGATAAAGAAAACGTGGCACATATACACCATGGAATACTATGCAGATATAAAAAAAGATGAGCTCATGTCCTTTGCAAGGACATGGATGAAGCTGGAAACCAGCAAATTAACACAGGAACAGTAAACCAAACAATGCAAGTTCTCACTCATAAGTGGGAGTTGAACAATAAGAACACAGGGACACAGGGAAGGGAACATCACACAGTGGGGCCTGTCAGGGTATGGGAGACTAGGGGATGGATAGCATTAGGAGAAATACCTAATGTAGATGACGGGTTGATGGGTGCAGAAAACCACCATGGCACGTGTATACCTATGTAACAAACCTGCACGTTCTGCACATGTATCCCAGAACTTAAAGTATAATTAAAAAATAAAAATAAAAAACCACTAGAAAATGGCTAATGATAAAAGCTGAGATATTCTAATCTGTATATGCTCCAGAATTATGGAAAACATATCTGCCACCATAAGCTTGATAGGTTTCCAATGCATAAAGACTTTTCTACTGAGGTCTGTGCTTTTATTAACAAATACGATTTTTGATATTATTTAAAGTGTGTCAATATTTGGAAAAGCTGGATAACCCGTTGAACAAGTATTTCC
Organism: Homo sapiens; assembly: GCF_000001405.40. Taxonomy (NCBI): domain Eukaryota; kingdom Metazoa; phylum Chordata; class Mammalia; order Primates; family Hominidae; genus Homo; species Homo sapiens. Next base: position 52,147,096 of record NC_000002.12, on the reverse strand, counting down.
TAAATGACCAATGCATGTTACAAAATCATCATGAGTAAAATATCCATTCATTGTGTAAGATAGATTAAAATGAATTTTAATGCAAGACCCCAAAACAGTAGAAAAAGTGTAGCTATACAGTTCTGAATTCTGTATTGAAACTGCCTTTTAAGAACTACAATTTGTTCAAGTTTTGATGTCATACAAAAGAAGAATATTCATAATTATCTGAGATGGCTATTAAAATGTTCCTCCCTTTTCTAATTACATGTCTGTGTGATAAAGGATTTTCTCCACATATACCAACCGATATGACATGCCACAACTGATTGAATGAAGAAGCAGATAGAAGAATCTTGCTGTCTTCTATTAAGCCAGCTAAAACAGAGATTTTCAAAAAAGTAAGAAATGACACTTCTTACTGATTTTTTGATTTTGGAAAATATATTTATTTAAAACATGTTTTATGTTAAAATGTAATGAATTTATTTTTAGTGTTAAATAAATTAATAAATTATTTCTTTTAATATTGTTAGTTTTAATTTCTAAATTGGCAAATATTCATAGCTAAAATTCATGCACACATAAGCTCTTTAGGGTCCTTAATTTTTTTTAAGAGTTTAAATATTCTTAGACAAAAAGGTTTGGGAACCATTGCTTTAAGTGTCCTCTATGTCACTGGTTTTTCCCACTTTAGCATCAATATCTTAAATCCAAATGGCAGATAATTAAGATAATAATAAACAAACGTGAGATACTGTTTTTTAATGTACATATGTGTAATTCATTTCAAAGGGAATGCAGTGATTTCTCAAATTGGACTTTGGTTTCCTTCAATAAGATATTGATAAACCTTTAACCAATGCAGATGTGAAAATCGCCCAGATCCACTCTGCTCTTCTACTATGAATGGTGTATTGCCCTGATCCATACATCTTTATGTTTCAGGATAATTATTACTGGTTCTTTGCATTTTAGTGTTTGATCAAGGTATTATCTTCAAATGTCACTTTCATGGAATGATGTGGAGGTCCACAGGCCTGGATCACAGGCTCTGCCAGTGGCTGTGATGTTACCTGCTGTGGTCTTTCTCTCTTGCTTCGGGTAAGAGCTCTGCTTTGAACATGTTCTATGGGCTCAGAGGCACCTTTTCTCTCAGCATTCTCCTGCCAAATGCAGCAAATAAAGGGGATTATAGATGGGAGGTCATGTGGTGCATCAGGGTGTGTATTTCCTTTCGTTGGGGAGATTTCTGTACATATTACAGTGAAATGAAGACAAATTTCTCACTGCATAATGAAGGCATGGATGAAACCTGGATGCTATGAGTCATATATAATCCAAAATAACTAACAGAATCTCTGTCGAATCACTTCATCCTGATTCCCGTATAGTTTATATGTGTAAAACAACTAACTCAATGCAACTATTTTAAAAGTACTTTTATGTTTTAAAATAAAAACTATGGTAAGCTGCAATTAAAAATTTATTAAAATATCATTGCATATGCTAAGAATAAAGCTATCTTTCCACTTCTCTAAAAAAGAAAGAGAGAAACACTTTTTGCTTCCACCTTTCCTATAAGGAGGTCTGTCCTGGTCAAGCTGTGGCATATTGGTGACAAAAAGGATTAGTTTTTTTTATCAATAGATATTTGTTTTGCCTCAAATGTCATAAATCATACATAATAGATATGACTATATTTAAAGATAACTTATTCATTTTCTAAGAGGCCTTTGTGTTTTATCATATACATTTTTCCTTTGTTTCTCAGATCAAAACAATAGAGAAAATTACTTTTGGTAAGACTTAAGAATTATAAACTTGCAAGTCAAAAATAATACTGGCAAGCAGATTTTAGTACAACAATGCTGACATCCACTGACTACTTAAGCTAATGCACAATTTATAAATAGCATAGGACATGAGAGAGAGTGTTCATTTATTTACAAAGTTCCACTCAAAGTGAAATACTACTGTTATCTGCTTGTCTGATCAAAGTATCTAGGTCAGAATCTAAAAAACCCCTTGGAGAGTCATTATTTGTAAAGTATCTGGATTATCAAAGACTACTATTCAATACATATCCACAAAATAATTTACATTAAAGTTAATGTGCCTATCAAATATGATGTACTTAAACTTTTCCTACTGTAAAAGTGTTACCGGTTGAGGGTGTTCAGGCTCTTGGCGTTTTGAACAAAGAATTGGACAAGACGCCCAAACAAAGCAAGGGAAGAATGAAGCAACAAAAGCAGAGATTTACTGAAAATGAAAGGACACTCCACAGGGTGGCAGCAGGTCAAGCAAGCGGCTCAAGGGCCCAGTCACAGAATTTTCTGGGGTTTAAATATCCTCCAGAGACTCCCCATTGGTTATTTGGCTTATGCCCTATGTAAATGAAGAGGCTACAAAGTTGCATAGTTATTTACTTGAGGTACACCCTATGCAAATGAACTGGATGTTTCCTGTCATAGCTGAAGTAGAGTTACAAAGTTATTTACTTGGTCTTAGAAAGTTGAGGTTTTTCTGTTTGATTTTGTTCTAGAAAGTTCTTAGGTTCCCTGCCCCCAGACCCTGTTCTCCTGCCTCAGAAGTAGAGTTAAAAAAAATTTGTTCTGATTTTAAAGATTTATGCCTTTACATTCAAACATTACTATGGATACATGCTTTAGCATTCAACTATCAATACTGATGGTCACAGTTTTAGAGGTGTGCGTGTGTGTGTGTATGTATACGTATGTGCATATATAGGTATATGCATTATTGGTGCTTGGGAAATGATACCCCAAAATATGGTCCCTCGACATGCTGAACTAAAGAAGCAGCTTCAAAGTCTTTTTGACCTTGCCCTCTGCCCTCTCTCAATCTTTGTCTCGCTCAAAGCACACAGTGAGACTCTTCTCTGAAGCTCCCTTATCAACCTATCAACCCAGAAACTGGACCTGCCAAAGAACACAATTGCCTTCTATTCTTTCCCTCAAATGTCATTAACCAGAGGCGATTAAAACTCACACCACGGAGGAAGAGATTGAAAATTAAATACTACACGTACAGAACAGACAATCCTTGTCCCAAACTGTAGTCTGTTCTCCACTCCTATTCAATTCCCAGAGAGAATCATTTATTAAATATTGTCTAAGTATTGGGCCTCAAACATTCCCCCTGCACGTCATTTACCACCCTTCAGAATGGTCACAATTTCCCATCTTTCTTCCTTTATGAACAAAGATATATAAACATCTGTACCTCATTGAATTATTTAGTAATCACTCTCCTGTGATTCTCCAGTGCTTATGTATGTTAAACCAATTTGTGTGCTTTTTTTACCTATGAATCGGCCTGTTGTCAATTCATTTTCAGTGAGCCTTCAGGGGGCAGAGGAAAAACTTTCCCTTGTCCTCTACAGTAAAATATGTTTAGAAAAACATCTGTGTATTTCTCTTATTATTAACTTTTAAAAATAGAAATGAGTATTTAATTGTATCCAGTGCTTGATTCATTTATGAACGTGATAATTGACGATAATATGTAGTTTCTTTCTTAGCACTGTTCTGCTGAATTGTATTATTAATAGATTTTCAACTGTTCAGTCATACTTACATATATAGGTTAGTTTGCTTAGCTAGTATTTCACTTAGCCCCGAAGAAGGCAAAAAATGAAAAAATCTGTATGTTCTACAAAGGGTCGCAATTTCTTAGAAAGCAGCACAAGACATATTTGCAATGGTGGTAGCCTGGCCAATCTACAGAGAGGCTGATGTGTACCGTATCGTGACAAGCTTTGTTTCTTGCTTAGGACATCTTTAGAGTCAAAGAATGCCAAGAAAAGCTCTCTGCTTTAGTAAATTACCATTTATTCTACACAATGGACTGTGGGGACAATGACCAGAGAAGGTTATCAAAACAAGCCTTGGGAAGGTGTTCATTATTCTTCTAATGGAATATACTGCTGTTTTTATTTTCAATTCAGTTTTTGTATAGCCTAGATAATGCAAATTTTCAAGGCCTTTACAATATTGACCTTAAATTTTAGAATGCTCTACAAATATTTGACCCATTCATCAAATTTCTACTGTAATGAATATCCTTTCCTGGGAGTCTATAACAACTACACAAAAAGTTTTTCCATCAAAAAGTGTGTAATCTGTATGTATTTCACAAGTCCTGTTATCTTCTCAACCCTGCATTTAGAGTTGCCATTTCTTTCTCAGTGTTTTGGGTTTTTCTAGCACTAGGTGAGATAAACAAAAGAAAATAACCGACTTTTTAGTGAGTATTAGTAATCTTAATTGTGGATCAATAATGAACAAAATTATCCATCAAAAATATAATTTCAATTTTAAAGTTGTAAGATACTATCCAGCATTATTACCTTTCTTTGACAGATTTCTTGAATAATAAAAAGAGAGATACACTAAACTCTTGTCAGTTCTATAAATATGTAAGTTAGGGTTGTAAAGTAATTGGTAAACATTTGTAAATGAAAATGCGTCATTTTGGCAGTCCTTTTAGTTGTTTTATCCTTATAAAGTGATGTATTTAAAATTAAATCATCAAATTGACACACTACTTAATAGCATATTCTAAAGGACAGAGGGACTTTTTATAGGGGAAATGGAAATAACTCCTCAGTCAATAAAACAAAGCAAAATCTTTCTTCTTTATTACTTATAATAAAAAGTATACAAAGATTCATTCTATGCCATCATTATTCACCTCTTCAGTAGGGTTACAAAGAGTTCATAAAAATTAATGTTCACAAAACTTAAGTCTTGGCAGTTAGGATGGGGAAGAATATAAGACTAAAACAGCAACATAATTGCCTTAACTTCAAACCATTGTTACTTCTAAGACTTGACTATGATGGCAACTAGTTCTCAGCAGCCTACACTGCACATGTGAATAAACCTAAGCATTAGGACTTCCCACTTCTCCATGATGGAATTATTTAAGTGCCCAGAATAATCTCTAAAACTAGGAAGTATTCAGTAAATATTAATGACTAAAGACATCATGCTCTGTAGAACAATATTAAATAGAATGCCCTGCTATGTCACTGATTTAAGAGTGTTGTGTGTTCTGGATACTTTTTATGTGGATAGATGCCTTGATTTCCCAACTGAAATGATGGCATTCTAAAGTGAAATATGTTTTCCAGCAATTTTTTCTTCACAGCAAAAAAGCCCATAGTATTTGTTCAACAATGACTAGGTGGATAATCAAGTGATTTTTCTGACGAGAAGAGTAAATTCTACATATTTTTTGCATGTGACTCTCCATGGAAATAATGTTATGAATAGTAATTCAAAATAGAGTGTTTCTTTGAAATTTACTATTCAATTTCTATACATGGCACTGTAGAAAGTATCAACTTTATATAAGTTGAATGAATTGTTTTTGTGCTTAATACACAGTGCTCTAATTTCCAATTAAAATTTCACTACACATTTAATTATATCACAGATCATTTTAATTACTTAGGACTAGTCATTTAAATGGATTACTTAGTTTTTGTGGTATTTCCCCTAGAATTACCTATGATAAAGGCCAAGTAAATGGTCATTCTCTTTTCCTTTCCGATAGGATTTGTCTCTAGTTATATATATTGAATGTTTGTTAATCTGAATCACTAATTCTCTTTTTCAAGTATTAAATATTACAGAAAACATCTCTTACCTTCACAATGGAAAGTCCCCAAGACACTAAGGGTCACTAGTGAAGTAATTTATGACACAGACTAATCTTGCTCTGTGTCAATATTAAGCTCTCCAATACTTTCAAGAATGCATTAGCATATAATGTAATGCAAGTTCTAGAGCCAAAAGAAACCACTAAATTTAGAGTTTGACATGGCATTTTACTAAGATAAGTCCTTGTCTGCACTGCAAACAGATGAAGCTATGACTCTTTTGAGCTTAATTTGCATATCATCTAATATTTTCATGCTGAGAAAGCACAGGCATCATCCTGATTTAGAGGCAGTTAGCAATTTCTATACGTAAAGCCAGTGAAACAGGCAAATACTCATTTTTTTTCTTTAAAATGCAACTGGAGACTTACTTAGGTTAGGCTTGTACTCATACTATTTGTTAAGAATAAAATAGCTATTTAAGTCTGCCAAAGCACAGACAAATAAAAATGTATTTATTAAGTCTTGTTTAAAATAATATAATTAAATATTTTAGTGAATTTAGCACGGGTTTCATTTCTTGTGTGACAATAGAAATAAATCAAGTTGAAAATTTTATATTTGTTTAAATACCACAGATGTTTAATGAACAATTGCTACTTGGCCAAAACAAAGTTTTGATTTTGCCCATTTACATAACTGAGACATATTTCTCTATGTGCAGAAAATACATCTGGTGTCAAAAACAACCTCAGAGAGTGAGACAACTTGAAATGCAGAGCTTAGAAGCAGATGTGGTGTAATGGGAAGACTGTGTAGCCATTTGAGTATTAAAAGATCTGACAATTGACCCTAAGAATAGATATTATTTGCTATACAGTATTTCATTCTCAAATTATCTTTCCAAGAGCTTCTCATTATTAACACACATCATAGCAAACCACCTGATAAGGTTTGTTATCCCCAGTTTACAGATGAAGACTCTGTATGAAGAGAGATGTTAAGAAACTTGCCCAGGGCCATGTAATTAGTAATTGCAGGACCCTGGATTCAAACCCTGGTGGTGTAGTTTAACTGTTTCACTTCAACACTTCTGCTACCAGTAGCAGAAATCATACACTCCAGGTGTGGGCTACTTGCCTTTACCTTTGAAACAGTTACAACAATAATATATACCTGATAAGTTTTTGTAAGAATGAATAATGCTACTGGTTATTCAAAAATTTTTGTAAAGTATTCTACAAATCTTTGCTCTTATCTTAATCTATATTAATATGCTTCACTCTTGGGTATGTCAATGTGCTTATATGCATGTCTGTCCCATTTCTTAGACTGGGGGTTGGCAAAATTAGTCTGTAAAATTTATTGAGGCTTTGTGGACCATCAAGTCTCTGTCCCAACTACTCAATTCTAACACATAAGCAGTCATAAACATTATGTAAACGATCGTGTGGCTGTAATCCAATAACCAATAAACCTTCTTGACAAAATCAGACAATAATTAGACCCACAGGCCATAGTCTACCAATTCCTGACTTTGATAGTATTATTGGTTTAAATGTGATAGAGACACAAATGTTATATTTAAGTGCTGTATTTACAGACTTTATCACCAATATGCAAGCCATGGATGCATGTTAAATGGAATCTTATCTATATTGTCTGCATTATACTATGTCTTTTAGGTAGAGATGGCTTCATTCTAGCCTAGTATCTTCCCAGAACTGTTTACTTATGGGACTCTGATTATATGCTAACTATCTCAACAGTTCCAATGACAAACACATTTTGTATTTCCCAAGTAGGCAAACAGGCTGACATCTGAATTAATAGTTAAATGAACAAAAGCTACTTTCACATATATTTCCTATGCAACTACTTGGAATTGTACATAAGACAAGTAGAAGATGGAGATTTTATATGCAATGTCAAAAACCACTTTAGAAAATGTGATTCTATGTAGAAGTGAATTTCTGGGGAAGTCTCTATTATATTTAACTGGCAGCTTGAGTGCTGAGCAGATGATACTAGTGCAGAAGGTACTGCATAAATTTCTGATTAAAACAGAAACATGGACTTTTTATGTGAAAGCAATTTAATTCCCTATGCCTGTATCTGCAGTTTGTTTCCCAGTGAACATCAAGTTTGCAAAGAGAAACCATGTATGTGTTTTTACTGCTATAAATGAGAAACTAAAATGATATGTTTAGAAAAACACATAGGGAGCAAATATTGTATGTTTTTACATGTAGTTTAATGCTTGATAAAAACAAGCATTTGTTTCTCAACTCTATTTTTTCTACTTTGAAAACATAGATGTAATTTTTGCTTAGCAGTTATATCGCAGTACCTTGGGTGACTTCACTTTCTATTAAGTTGATATAAATTAAAATTTTAACTCTCCTTATTCTTAAATGTCTCTGCTTCCAATTTTACAAAATTCGCAGTAGACTCATGCACCTTCCTGGCATCTGAAACAAAATTCTCACATACATACACAAATACAAACACATAAGCTCACTGAGAAACTGCATATCTACAGCATTTCATGTTTTTCTCTGTCCTTGAAAAAAAGTACACCACTTCTCATGCAAAGGTAATTTCTCTTCCATGTCCTTTCTAGCCCCTCAATCTTCTCATGGCCTGATCACATTTTACTCTCTTTCACAATCCTCAGTCTCCCTTTCCTGAGCCTTTAGTCTCCCTCTCTATGTACTCATTTTCCTCAGCCTGAGAAGCTCATAATTCTACTATGTCTTTCTACCTTAGGCATTGAAACTTCTCTAGCTGTTGTCTTAGTTATATGTTTTTTATTTCTATTGAACATCCTGAAAAACTAGGCTATAGTTACCATTTCCATTTTCTTACTACATTTTAAGAATTAATGTTCTGTCCCTAGAAGTATCTTATAAATCTTATAAATCTGACCGTGGATCATTTTGACAGTCTCATGGAAGTTACAAGTTTTTGCCCGAAATAATGCATATATAGAGAGAATTCTTTACATCAGTTTAGGGTGATCAGACCTTTTGATGACCACAAGTGACACATTTATCTTAAACTAAGTATCCCTACACTTCTTTCCCTAACCAGCTCCCATAGGTTCTAGTACCACCCAAGTAGACATGAATCCTCAATCCATGAGTCTTTTCCCTGTCTCCTTCAAGACCTCCAGATCTTCTACTGAACATCTCTATTTGCATGATGCATATTCAATCTGTCCAAATGGCCCATCATATCCCTCCAAAACTATCTCCTCTCTTATTTCCTATTTGATGAAATGCAATATTATAGCTAAAAACCTTGAGGATTACCATGACACTCTTACTCCTTATATATGATCTGTGAGAAAGTCTTTTTTACTATACTCCTAAATATCTCAGTTTTTCTACATAATCTTTTTACCTATGGATAGTTTTCTGATGATGTGTCATTTTCACCCATACAATCACAGGTCTTATAACTGACCATCATAATTATCTCCTACCGCCTCCATTCTAAAGTCAGTCTCAACTATAATATCCTTCAAGGGAATTCTATACACTAAAAGTAATACAATAACCATAACTTAGGTAAAAGTAATCAAACTCTTGCCTATATTTCCAACTTCATGCCCTGTCAGTGCATTATACTTAATCTGCCTTCCAGTCATAGTGAACTATGTGTCATTCCCCAAAGATAAAATGACAATTTGGCTTTGCACACCTGGTTGACTCTGGTCAGAATTTTCTCCTTTCCCCTGACCAAAAAACTCCTAGTAAACCCTTAGGATTCAAGTCAAGGACCAAAGACTCAGGGAAATCTGATCCAAAGTACCTTTCTCCATGTCCATAAGACCTACAGTGAAGAAGCAGGACAATCCAGAGAAAGAAAATCAAATACTTAAGTATTTTACTAAAGGTGAGATTGTTTGAGCTGCTTTTAATGTTTTACATAATTTTGAAGACCAATTTTTATATTCTTCCAGTTTTTAACTATTTTTTACTATTCTTACACCAATGTCTCAAATACATTATGTTCTCTAGTTGTATAGATCTACATTTCAATAACTGTGGTAGGCAAAATAATGACTCCATCCCCAACCTCTTCAGGTACACACATCTTAATCCCAAGAACCTATGATTATGACAGATTATATGACAAAGGGAAATTAAGTTTGCAGATGGAATTAAGCTTGCTAATCAACTGACCTAAATTAGGGGGCTTATCCTGTATTTTCTGTGTGGGCCTGATCTAATTATAAGGGTCTTTACAAGTGAAGACAGGCTCCAAGAGTGAATGCTCAGAAGGGATGTAACTTTACTTGTTTGGAAGAGGTGTGGGGAGAGGGCACAATAGGACAAGGAATATGGTAAGCCACTAGAAGATGAAAGGGGCAAAGAAACAAATTCCCTCTTAGAACCTCTGGAAAGAAATACAGCCCTGAATTTTAGCCCAATGAGACCTGTATTAGACTTATTACATTAGAGAAATGTAAGATAATACATTTGTGTAGTTTAAGCCACTAAGTTTGCTGTAATTTGTCACAGCAGTAATAATGACTATAACAACTTTCACCACACTGACATTTCTACTACTGGACATATATAACCGTGCAAAATATACTATTAGAAAAATTAGGAAAAACATTGTAAGCAAATCAAACTTTGAAAATCCAGTAAAGAGCAATAAAAAATACCCAGAAATCTTAGTTTTTAATTAAATTGCATGGTTCTATAATGTATCTCTAAAGACAAAATAAAAACCAGTAAATTAAAACTTCAGAAAAATCTTCTAACAGCTAAAACTGTTTCATCTAACACATTTTCTCTAAATTTTATGAACAGTTAAAAAGAAATATTTTTGGAAAATTGATATATTAGGTAAAACAAATAAAGTTTACTTTTCAAAGCGTTTTCATTTAGATATTTTTTAAATCTGTCTATTTTGTTCTGCCTTTTTATCCTGCTTTTGAATTTGACAATTGTCCTATGGGAAACAGTACAAATTTAAGGCCCCTAGTTCTGCCAAAAAATCTGTTAGTTTCTCTGAGCCCTAATCCTGGACACTTCAAGAATGAGGTATATCCTTCTTCTGTAAAATACCATTGGGAAAATGTGGCTGCAGAAGTCATTTTATTTCTTTTAGTTTATTCACTCTGAAGTCTTAAACCTCCGCTTTCTCAGCATGCCTCTGAAGCTTCAAATACATTAATAAATTATTTCTGGTTTTTGTTTCTTTCTTTCTTTCCTGCTTCTCTTGTTAGTCTGATAGGAACACTTGTCTCCAGTTATTTGACCCTATCTATAAGTGGAAACACCTCTGACTTTAAAATGTTTTAAAATTTAATGATGAAAGTTTTATTGTGTCATTTCCTAATAGTAACACTGGTAGACTTTGGGGAGAAAGACTTGGAATAAGAGAAGGTAAAGGTGATTGGGTTCTACTTATGATACTGTGAAAAGTTTCCATATTTGATATTGCAATACGGTTGTATTTTAAAACGAGCATTTTGTATAGGACACCTGCCATTTTGAAAATATTTGAGAGTAATGATAAAAAGATATAGTGGGCCTATTTTTCAACCAACCTTTCTTTTCTGGTTTCAATTAGTGTTTGCTTAATCCAATTTTTCCTGGCAGTTTTCCTTTTCATTGGCAGTTTTAATGGCCAGTTACATTTCATTTTATTTAGAAGAGAAATTAGTATATCTTCTGGTTGGAGGCAGCAGGAATACAAGAAATTAGTTTATGAGGTTTGTATTAATAAAGAAGTTTAAAAATATAGAAATTAATTCATAATCTATACACAATAGTGCTTATAAAAAATTAGAAAAAGCTCATAGTAAAGTACATAATACAAAATAAGCATTTATCGCCCCAATCACTTTTTACCCTCTCCTAAGTAAAAGAAAACATCTATTTTTATTTCTAATTTTATGCAAAGGGAAAAATTGCATACATATAATTATTTAATAAAACAATTTGGAGATTTATTTATAAGGCATACAGTTTTTACTATCTTTCACGTTCCTCAAATTGAATTCCAATTTCATCATCTGACATTTTATGACTCAGCAAATTTCTTAACCTCTCTCTGTCTCAGTTTGTTCATATTTAAACAGGGGAAGTAGCTGCACCTACCTCATGGTATCTTGGCAAGAATTAAATAAGTTACTATGTGTAAAAGTGCCTGTAGTTACATACCTGGTAGGTTTTAAGTATTATATAAATATTCATTCTTATTATTGTTCTGCTTTTGATTATTATGTTTCAGGTAATATTTTAGATGCTAAGAACTTACAGTGAACAAGGTTGAAAATACTTTGATCAAATAAAGCCTACATTCACATGGAAGGATGGGCAGATAATACGCAAGGAAACTAATAATCAAACAACAAGAATATTATCTACAAGTACTGCAGATAATGTGAAGTTTGGTGTAATAGACTAGGTTAAGGCTAGGTCTGAAGGGATGGAGGGGTTAAGCAAGCCAATTCTGGTAGAATATTTAAGGAAGACGTCTTTAAGATAGTGATAGCTAAGCTGGGATATAAGAAGTGCTAGCCTCCTCAGGATTAAAGGAAACACATTTCAGGTAGAGAAAAGAGTAAGCAAAACAGTCTCTGGTGTGAGAATAAGTTTGATGTTTCCTGTAATAGAAAAGTTTCATGTAACAGGTAAGTAAAAAGCAGTGAGCCTGGGAGACTGGAATAAGAGAAGGGATATATAAAATACAGGGAGAATGCCTGTTACTGTCCATAATAATGCAGTAACTGGTACCAGACTTGCCCTCCTATTGTACACAACTATATACTGGATAAACTCTATACAGTAAATACATCCAGTTGTTGGGAAGCAGGCTGTGTCCTGCGCTCACCTAGGATGCCGGGCTGGGGCTCTTTTCCCCAGTGCAGGGAGGGAGGTGGGGCCCATGCAGGCTGGCCATCTTGCAGAGCTGAGAAAGCAGAGATCGTACGTCAGGACTGCTGAAGGGGCTGAAGAGCATGAGAGACAAGAGGAGATATCTGTACAGTGGGTGAGGAAAGGTTGAGGGGTGACCTAGGAATCTTCATGTGGAATTCAGTGACAGATTTATGGCAGAGGGCTGAGCTCTGTACACACTGGGTAAGACTCCACAGGCCTTGCAGAGAGAAGATGCTGAGGAGCTGAGAGCAGAACTGAGATATCAGAGGTCATATAACTTCTAGCCAATTAGGTGGAGGAATCTTACTGAGCCTCTTCAGTATTCAGACAAAACAACAACAAAAGAGCCAGATATTGATGGTGGGGAAAATACTATTCCTTAGAACATGATTTGGAAAATATTTTCTGTAAAGGGCCAGATAACAAATAGTTTTACCTGTGTCTGTCACATATTCATCTTTTTTTACAAGCCTTCATAAATGTAAAAAATATTCTTAGCTCTGAGCTATGCAAAAACGGGCACTGAATTTTGCCATCTGGCCATAGTTGGCCACCCTGTGCTGTAGTGTAATTAAAATAGGTCTATCCTTACAAAGAGTAAAACTGCTTGAATAAGCATAAAGATCCCAAAATAACTTATCAACTTATCAAAAAAATCAACATTTTTAAAGTAAGAAAATGTATTTTATAACTCACTATGATGTATTATCAACCACGTGGAGCATAAACATAAAAACATGAGTAAAAGCAGCAAAATGTGACCCATAATAAAAAAGAGAAGGAACCAATAGAAACAGATGTCAAAATTACCCAGATGTTGAAATTAGCGGAAGGAATTTAAACATCTATTATAAATATGTTCAAGGACATAAGAAAAAGGGTGGTCATATTGAGTGAACATATGGGGAATCTCAGCAGAGAAATGAAAACTATTTTAAATGTACTAAGTTGAAATTTGAGAACTGAAATATAAAATATGGGAAATGAAAAACTCACTGGATGAACTTAACATGGAATTGGAGACACCAGAGTAAAGGGTCAGTGGTCTATAAAACAAATCAATGAAAGTTATATAATATGAATAGCAGAAAAAATAAACTGAAAAACAAATAAACAGAGCCACCATGACAGTTGGGACAGTTGGACATTATCAGACAGTACAGTTACATGAAATTGGAGTCTCAGAAAAAGAGGAATACATATTAGAGCAGAAAAAAATATTCAAGAAACTTATGAATAAAAAAATCCTCAAATATGGTAAAAATTATTTACAACCTAGAGATTCATGAACCTTACTGCACCTCCAGCACGATGAATACAAAGAAAAGCATGCATAGGAATATCATAATTATGGTGCTGAAAAGCAAAGTTAAAGAAAAAGTCAAAAATCAGAGAAGGATACTTTAAAGAGGAAAGCTATGATGCAAATGCTAGCTGATTTATTTTCAAAGACAATGAAGGCCAAAATACAGGAGAAGAAATCTTCAAAAAGCCAAAGAAAGAAAAAAAAAGACCTATCAATCCTAAGTTATATATCCAGAGATGCTAGCTTTACAAACGTATTAAAATAATTTTTTAAATGGTAATAAATGGAAGGTAAAGGAATTCAATGTCAGAATGTCCAAACTAGGAAATCCTAAAGGACATTCTCTAGGATAAAAGCAAATGGAAAGTAGAGTCTACACAGAGAAATAAAGAGCAGAGAATATGAAAAATATATCCTCAAATATAAATATATCTCTGTATTTTTTTCCTTTTGATATCTTTTAAAAAAGAGATTAACCCCTTAAACCCAGCTGGGTTAGAGTAAGTCCAATGAAAGCCTTTCCTTCCCAATGATAAAAATTAAAACATCTGTACAAAATACAAGGAGAACCATCTGAGGCCTCTGAAAAGTAAATAATAAGCAGATGCATTCAGAAGGGAAGTGAATACATGAAGAAATGGATAACAGGGGTGAGTTACCCATTTCGTTTTACTTATTCAATATTCTATTGTGGCTTTGAGCTGAGGGCAGGTGCCTCACAGAGCTGTGATGAAAGAATGATCAGATAAAACTTCAAGAGGAATCACATTTCTTTGGCCAGAGGAATCTGGAAAAGGAATTTATTAAATATAAAAGGTAATGGGGGAGTGTCTCTTTTTTTAAATTGATTTTTACTTTTTTCTCTAGCTTTGACTTAAAGTCAGCCCTTCTCAAAATTCTTCAATCAATAGTCTAACCTTAAGCTTTAAGAAACTGAAACATAGAAGTGTAAATTCAACTCAAATAAAGTAGGTAGAAGAAATGATAAAGAGAATAGATCTATAGAATTAAAAACAAAAATAAGAGAGAAAATAAATTAAAAGTTGTTTTTCTTAGTAAAAGGATGAGAAAAATAAGGTAAAAGACACAAATTATGAGCATAAAGAATGAAGGATACCTTACATATGTTGAGGTATAAGAAAATATTACAACTTGTATCTGCTTATGACAACTTAGATGAAATAGATCAATTCCTTAAAAGATAAACTGCCAAAACTAACTCAAAAAGAAAATAACAGAATATTCCAAATCTGTTAAGTAAATTAAAATTTAAGCTTAAAATCTTTCAATAAAGTAAAACCCCAGAACTAGATATATTTATTCACAAATCCCACCACTCATTTAAGGGATAAGTAATAAACATTCTACAAAATAGGAGTTGATGGATCAATTTCCTGTGTGTTTTATGAGACCAGCATGAACCCCACATATCTGAGACAGGTCTCAGCTGATTTAGACAGTTTATTTTGCGAAGGGTGAGGATGTTTGCCGGTGACACAGCCTTAGGAGGTCCTGACAACATGTACCCAACGTGTTAAGAGCACAGTTTAGTTGTATACATTTTAGGGAGACATGAGACATCAATCAACATCTGTAAGATTAACATTGGTTCAGTCCAGAAAGACAGGACAACTCAAAGCAAAGGCAGGACAACTTGAAGCAGGGAGGGGGCTTCCAGGTCATAGGTAGGTAAGAGACAAATGGTTGCATTCTTCTGAGTTTCTGATTAGTCTCTCCAAAGGAGGCAATCAGATATGCATTTATCTCAGTGAGCAGAGGGGTAACTTTAAACAGAATGGGAGGCAGGTTTTCCCTAAGCAGTTCCCAGTTTGACTTTTTTCTGTAGTGATTTGGGGACCTCAAGATTTATTTTCCTTTCACATTTCCCCTGTATTCTTTTATAAAATCTTTTGGAGAAAGCATTTTAGAAGAAAATGAGTCTCTGATCTCGTGTTTCATCTGATCTCTCATGGCTAGGCTGGTTTATTACTAGGCAGGTAGGTCCTGAGTTATTATGAAAGCTCATTTTAGCAGGTTGTTAAGTCTTATGTCCTATGAAGAGAAGGAGGAAGGGAGAAAAAGACAACAAACAAAAGAATAATCCTCAAAAACCAATAAAGGCCACATTACTCTGAAGTTCACACATCAGAAGGTGGCTATGAAAGTGGCTTATGCATGTAAATAGGTTGTTGTTATTTTCTTCTAAAGTTTTCTAGCTTCAGTTCACAGGGCTTTAAGAATTTACTTTTAAAGACGAAAAATGCGATTACTTTTGCACCAACCTAATAACTACAGGTGTATTATAGCTTTTGAAACATAATACTTATCTCTCCAGTTTCCCATTTTTACTAAAGACAAATCATGGTAGGACTGATTTGCTTTATCATACTAGGCCTGATTATTTGTATATGTAGAAGCAAGAATAATTATTTTGTACATAGGCTTTTAAATTGGCTTTGATGTAATTTTGTTCCTTAGAAGGAATCTCAGATAAGACTTTTAAAAATCTGAGCTCAGCCATGGATTTGTACCATCGAATAACTATAAGCTGGGTAAATTCTTCTCCTCTTGAGGTCCCAAGATAAATTTGGGCCTCCTGGGCCTGTCAGAAAGTGACATTCTTTACTTAACACAAGTCAGGAATCCTGTACAGGGACTGTGTAGACAAGGTATGAGGCCGGTTATCCCAAGGGGCTTTTATTGGCTCCATAAGTCAAGTTTGATTCTTTAAAGGAAAGCACACGATGCGGGTGAAAGTCTTGGTAAAACAACCAGTTTCTCCAATTGTGTCCTGTTACAAATAAAAACAGATTCTTACTGAACTTATGCAAACAACTGTATTGCCATAAGTCACAAATAGTTTCCAAATTCTGGAGAAATCAGTTAGAGAGAAACAGATATGCTCCAAATTTTGTTCATAGGAGTATACTAACTTGTTAATACCTGTCAATGGCTCAAAAGAAAAGTTTTCTTGACTCTGAAAAAACACAACAAAACAAAGGATCAGCAATGTTTTAAGCTAAAAGTCAAAAAGATTACTTCAGTCTTCTATTAGTTCAGTCCATGCAGTTAATTCCTGTTCTGCTTGATATTCATGAACATTTCAGCTCTCCATGAGTCCTGAAAGTTTTTCCCCTATTCTGATTTCACAATATCCAAAGTTATCAGAAACCTGCATTCAGGAGCACCTGTTAGAGTTTTATAGTGGATTATAAAACCACCTTTCAAAGAGGAGCAAAACAAGACAACAATTGTCCATGGATGACAAGAAGTTTTAGGGCAGCCATAGTCAAAGACACAACTAACAAGGAAATTTTTTTCCCTCTGTGGCACAATAATTTAACATAATAATTATAAATTATAATTATTACTGATAAGTCATATCAATTACAGGAATTTCCCATGATTTTGGAACACATACCAATAACATATTTATACAAATACAGCCCAAAGAAAACTAAACACCATTTCATATTTGAAAATGTGTCCTGTATAATTTTTACACCAAATAAGCCAAATTATGTTATTTTTTGGACTTTAGGGAAACCAAAATCTTAAAGGATTAATTAGATCAGAAAAATACATAATTTATAATTTGGCTTTTGAAAGTCTGTCAAATATTAAAAGTTTAAAATACTTGATATCAGAGTTTACTATAAAATAAATCATTCATTGGACCAAAGTAATAAGTCACGGATTTCAAAAAACAGACAAAAGCCTTCCTTCTTTGAGAGAGGAGAATGTGAACTAGAATGTGTGAACTGCCTGTGAACTAGATGACCAAAGCCACAAGACTAGAAGTTACGATAATCTTACTAGGTTCAAGATGTAGCTATTTTCATTAAACAAATATCAATGTCATATTTATTAAAGATTATCCAAGCAAAAATCATTCTTCTTTGGGGTGGGTTTATATTTATGTAACTCCTATGCCAAATTTTGATACCTTATAATATTTAGCAGGGATAAGTATGAAATTGCCTGATTAATAAATGCAAATAAAAATGTATGCTGGCAATTCTTACAACATTTCTAATATTACATTACCAATAATTTTAAAGCTAGCTTATTTATTAAAGACTTTACTTAAGTTACATAAACTTGAAAAAATATTTGACAAGTCATTTCTTTTTTTCTTGATAAAGCATTTGATTCAAGTGCTTTTGTTTTCTTAAGCCAATTAATTAGAACTCTTTTACGTATTTTCAGTAAGGAAACATTGTGTACATAGACATATTAGGCATGCCAATAAAAGTTTATTGTGTAGGTTCATAAAAGCCTTTATTTTTCCTATGTTAGATTTTCAAATTCTTGATAACCTGTTTCACTACCCTAGTCAGTTGTCACCTAAATAGCCTTAAATTTGTATATTAAAGTAAATAACTCAGGTGAAAATCAAATAGCAAAATTTACATCATAAGGTATGGAGAGAAAAAGTCTGGTGTGCTAGAGAAAAACTAAAATGGATTTAATTGCCAATTAAACATAAAATTATAGACATTATAAAGGCCTTTTAAATACATACACACACACATATACATACACACAAAGATCCTATAGCTTTTACTTAAGAACCTTAAACATGAGATAAATACAAATTCAGCAGCTTGCAAATAAAAACCTTTTGAATTCAAACAGTGTTTTGTCTTAATAAAAAAAATAGTAGCAGATTTAAAGCAGACAGAAAAAAATAGAGAAAAAGAGAACTTAGTAACACTACAGTTTGCAGGATGGCCTTAGGGCCTATTTTCCCTTAATGTAAATGTGCATAAAGACCATATTACTTCCATTTTACATAAACTCTGGCAAGTAGAGGTGCCATAAAGTCTATGAAGTGCTTGAAAGGAGGTCGTTCTCCTTGTTTACTCTTCATTCTTATTTGTCTCCCACTTTTTTTCTTAAAAGGAGGAACTAAGCTGTGGCCTAGGGTTTTTGTGTGGTGGATTGTTGGGTGCTGCTTGTGGGCAGGAGTCCACAGTTTGTCACCACTGAGTTGTTTCCACCCTCTTACGTGTCTCAGTTTCTCTTTCCAGAGGTCTTTGACCTCTGAGACGGCTCATAACATCAGATGATTAGCCCTTATATGAATTTCCTGGATGAGCCTTTTAAAAAAAATATTTTTGTTGGGGATTTCTCAGTAGGGTTGCTGCATGTCATGGGGAATCAACCCCCCACACAATCCCACAAGCCCACTGATCACTCAGGGGTGCCTTTCAGCTAGGAGAAGCACAATGCCCTTTCTCTTTGGAGCTGAGAAAATTCGGTCACTCATTTACTTATGAAAACAACTGTTCAGTTCCTCAAACATGAATACAGACAAGCCAAATCAGGATTAATTTTGGGAAAAAGAGCAATAAAGAAGACCCTTTAGAATGCATCTCTGAACTAGAATTAGGATCCTTAAACAGGAAATTCCTAGGAGGAAAAAAAACAGCCAAGTAAACTTCCTATAAACTGTAAACTGTGCTCCTGTAAACCATGCTCAGCCACCCCTAACTGTGTAGCTCTCATCCACCATTACGCAAACCAAGGTCAAATCCTCTCACAGTACAAGGTCATCTCTGCTACCCTTAAAACCAAAGGGGTCAGGTCATGCAATAAAGAAAACAGAGCTTTAGACCTAAGAAGAATCTGCCCATGATTCTTGAAACTCCACAAAGAAAACAGAACACCTCAAAAGGGGTGAGTGGTGCTTTTGTTCTGAATTCTTTAAAGGGATTCAAGTTATTAGAACCCTTCTCTAGGTTTTTTTGGTACTGCAGATGGCAAAGGGGGAAGAAGGTATAGAGTGGAAAAAAAGTAAACAAAAGAACATTTTTTTTAAGACAGAAAGCACAGAAACCAAGCACAAGATTTATTTTTTATTTTTTCCTCTTTTGCAGCTGTGAGAAGCTTTAGCCTAATTAGAGAACCTTTGTTATCTATCCATAATTTGGAATTCTCACTTGGATTTGACCAAATCTAGTAGAACTAGAAAAAAAAGACTGGAACAGACAACAAAAACAAATTCCAACCATGTGATCACTGAGCACTCTAATGGTAAGAAGAAATAAAAATCAGCTGGTTGTTAAACTTCAGCCACAACCAAACCCCAATTCAACTATTTACTTAGGAATCAGTCTCAGGCTGAAGGCTGCTCTCTACCATCCTAGAGGCAGGAAAAAACTCAAACTCGTCTTCCCTGCTGGGAGCGAGCTCAAACTTCATAAAGGAGTTACCTGCCTTCCATCTACATGGAAGCAGGAAATCTTGCCTTCCTTGTTGGAAGCAAGTAAAACTCCAAAAAAGAAAAAAAAAAAAAGTGAGGTGGCAGCAAAGTAAACTTTAAATCTCGACTAAATTTTGGGAGATCAGGATTTTCTGGAGGGGATGCTCCCAGACCTCAGCAAATTTTCCTGTTGGTTAGAGCCATAAAAGCTAGTTCATGCTGGTACCAAGCACCGACAGGAGATTTTTGAAAGGTCAGGGGCATCTCCACTCAGAATCCCTCCATGGTTACCAAAATGTGAACCCTGAATATCTGAGACAGATCTCAGGTAACTTAGAAAGCTTATTTTGCAAAGGTTGAGGATGCGTGCCTGTGAAAGCCTCGGGAGGTCCTGATGACATGTGACCAAGGTGGTCAGAGCACAGTTTGGTTTTATACACTTTAGGAAGACATGAGACATTAATCAGCATATGTGAGATGAACATTGGTTAGGTCCGGAAAGGCAGCAAAACTTCAAGGAGAGGTGGGGCAACTTGAAGCAGGGAGGGGCTTCCAGGTCATAGGTAGGTAAGAGACAAATTGTTGCATTCTTTTGAGTTTCTGATTAGCCTCTCCAAAGGAAGCAATCAGATATGCATTTATCTCAGTGAGCAGAGGGGTGACTTTAAATAGAATTGGAGGCAGTTTTGCCCTAAGCAGTTCCCAGTTTGACTTTTCCCTTTAGCTTAGTGATTTGGGGGCCCCAAGATTTATTTTCCTTTCACATCAGCATTATCCTGATAGTAAACCAGTCAAACACATCACAAGAAAACTAATGAACGGTATGTCTATGAGCAAACAAATAACTACTTTCACAAAATATTATTGATATAAGAGTTAAGAAGAAATTACTTTGGCAGATAGTGAGGGTATGAGAGTCTTTGGTAAGGTTTTCCTTTTAATAAAAAGCAGCTCAAAAATCTTTTTTTTTTTTTTCCTAACAAAGAGTGGCCTGTAAAATCAAGCTGCAGACGTAGACAAGAATAGCTGGAAGCTTGGATGGGTGAATGCCAGCAGCCATGCCAATAGGAAAAGGCTACCTGGGTCTAGGCATGTTCAAAATGGTGGCTCCATCTTCCCTTCTCTTTGCCAGCCATGTGTACAGTAAGGAGCAGACAACCTAGCATCAGCCAAGTGAAAAGTCCATTTGCATAATACGGTTAGGGTGGGGTGGTCAGCTTCCCACACACTATATAAAGGTCACACCTGGTCCAACCAATCTGTGGGCCCTAAGTAAATCAGACACTGCCTCCTCAAGCCCGCTTATAAAATCTGGTGCACTTCAATGTGGGCTGGATTTTCCTTTTGGAACCCCCTCTCTCTTGGAAGGGAGAGAGATGCCCTCTTTTCTCTTTCTTTTGCCTGTTAAACCTCCGCTCCTAAACTAACTCCTTGTGTGTGTCCTTGTCCTTTAATCTTCTTGGCATGAGATGATGAACCCCAGGTATTTACTCCAGACAACAAGACCACTTCATTAGTAAAACAACTACAGCAATATATGTAAAAGAATCATACACCATGACAAAGTAAGGTTTATCTCAGAAATATAAGGCTGGTTTAATATTCAATAATCTATCACTATAAGTTATCTTATTAAAAGGGTGAAGTAGAAGACCAACACGTTCATCTCAATAGATGAAGAAAACTATTTTATTTAAGATATATTCAAGGCAAAATTTTTCAATGAACTAGAAACTAAATTCCCTCAACTAGGAATTGAATGGTCTCAAATTGAAAAAGTGTGTCTACAAAATAAACTTGTAGCTTATTTTATACTTAAAGAAAAAAGAATGAAATACTTTCTCCCTGAGTTCAGAAATAAGAATGCCCTCTCTTCATTTGTATTCAACCTCATATGGAAGTCTTAGCAAGGAGACTAAGGCAGGAAAAAGTAATAAAAGCATCATGATTGAAAAGGAAAGGCTATAATTGGCTCTACAAAGATATTATTGTCTACATAGAGAAATTTATAAAAATAACTACTAGATAAGATTAATTTTGTAGAATACAAATTGTGTAGAATACAAGGCTAATATTACAAAATCCTGGACAACTGGAAATGTAAATGTAAATGTGTGTGGGTAAATGCATATATATGCATAGGGGTAGAAAGGAGATGATCCATTTCCTCATTATAAAGGCTATGGCCAACACCCCTGTAATAAAAGACAGGTTAAAAACAGAAAAGCATAATAAATGTACTAATACACATAACCACAGGAGCCATACAAACAATATGAAAACTCAAAAAAGGGCCAGATGGTTGATACTTAGTTACCCCTTCACTGGGAAGAAGAAAGTGGGGAGGGGGTGCTATAAATGAATGAGCCTGAATACCAGACAGTGGTTTGCAAATGATGCCTTTTGGACAATGAATGGCTTGCAAGGACAGACAATAGCTTGTGGACAAATTATAGGTGAGAGACAGGTACACTGAGAACAGAGGTTGTCTTATTATGTACATACAGTCTTCCAGGTAATCTCTCATGCTCAGAAGACTAGAAGAGAAGTCTGTCTCCGTATGGTGTCCTTGGCATAGAGATTTTTAGTCTTTTGTCCTATGGTAAATCTTTCCTGGTTATTTAATGAGATTTCTAGGGAGGGAGTTACAAGACAATTGTATGTCTTTTAGGCATTTTCTCCGTCAAATAAGAAAACTTCCAGAAGCAGCCTCTCCCAGTGCGTTGGCAAAAAAAGAGGAACAGAAAGACAAGGAGATGGGGGAAGGTCAGAGAGAGACCTTGAGGCTTCTTCTTTAGTTCAGCATGTCAGAACACCATATTTGAGGTATTATTGTCTGAGTCCCAACTGTCTGTCTGTCTGTCTATCTATCTACATACATACACACACATATACATACACATTTAATTATCTAATGTAATAATTATAATTATAATTTAAATAACCCACCAAACACAAAATACTTATGTGAAAATACAACAAATATGTGTAGGATCTGTATGCTGAAAACTACAAACCATGATGAGAAAAGGCAAAGAATGACCAAATAAGAAAAGAGATATATCCTATCCTGGATGAAAAGAATCAACCCAATCCCACTCAAAATTGTAGCAGAATATTATGTAGATATTAATAAGCTTATTCTAAGATTAATATAACAAAGCAAATAGAAAAGCTAAAATAAACTGAAAAGGAGAATAAAGCTGAAGGATTTATATTACTCAAGTTTAATACTTAATAAAAAATTACAACAATCAAGACAGTATAACACTGGGGAAAGGAAAGATACATTGGTCAATGGTATAGAATACAGCCCAGAAATAGGTTCATGCTTAAATGAGTTTTGACAAAGTTGAAAAGCTGAATCAATGGAGACAGGATAGTCTTTTCAACAAATGTTGCTGAAAAAATAGGGCATCCATATCATAAAAATGAACCTCATTTCATAATTCACACTGCATCTCAAACTTAACTCAAAATGAGTTAAGTGTAAATCCTAAATATAAGTTGTAAAGTTATAAAACTTCTAGAAGGAAATACAGGATAAAATCTTTGTAAACTGGAATTAGAGTTAGGCAATGACTGAATCACAATCTATTAAAAGCTGATAAATCAAAAGTTGATAAATATTTTTGCTCTGTGACAAGCCATAAAACAGGAGAAGATATTTGCAAACATTTACCTGCTAGGTAACTCTTATCCAGAAAATTAGAAGAATATTGAAAACTTGATGTTAATAAAATATCTCTATTAAAAAATAGACAAAACAGTTGAGCAGATATTTCACCAAAAAGCTATTCCGATGACAAGTAAGATTTGCATTATGAATATAAATAGCATAAAATAAAACCTGACAATATCAACTGCTGGCAAGGCTGTAGAGCAAAGGTAACTATTATTTATCGCTCTTCGGTAAACAACATCTTATAGCCACTTTGAAAAAGGGTTTGGCAATGTTTTAGATTTAAACATACAGCTACTAATAGCTTAGCAATTCCATTCCCAGTTATTTACCCAAAATAAATGAAAACTTACTTTAAAAAAAAAAGCTTTATGTGTATGTTCACAGTAATTTTATTCAAAGTTGCCCAAACTAGAAACCATCCAAATGTCTTTTATCAGTTAAATGGATTTCTGATAGATGCATGCAACAGATTAGTACTCAGCAATACAAATGCACAAACTACTACAATAGGCAAACTGATGGGTAATTATGAAATGCATTATGCTAAGAAACAGAAGTAAGAATCAAAGATTACATTCTGTCTGATTCCGTGTATAAGAGATTCTAAAAATAATTATAATTATAGAACATTTAAAGGTCAGTTATTGCAAGGATGGGGGATGGGGATGAGTCACTACAGTGATATGAGAGAACTGTGAGGGGTGATGGAATTGCTTTATATCTTGATTATTGTGGTAGTTATGTCACTATATGACTTTTTCAAAATCATAAGAATTTACATCAAAAAGTGACTTATTGTATATTAACATGAATGAAATTAATAAAAAACTGATCTACATTTTAATGTTAAGAAGCTAAGAGAAGAAAAATTAATTCAAAATAAGTAGAAGGAAATCATAATAAATATAAGAGAAAAACAATGAATAGAAAAACAAAAGAAAATCAATCAAAAACAATCCAAAGCCTGATGTTTTAAAAGATTAATAAAACTGACAAAATGTTCAATGGACATTTTACAGTAAAATGAGATGGGAGGCGACAGAGAGAAGACAGAGAGAGAAAGAGAGAGAGAGAGACAGCATGAATACAAACACTGTTATGAGGAGTTAAATAGCGGCTATCACTACATAGCCTAGGGATATTAAAAGGATAAAAAACCAATATCATAAACAAGTTTATAATAATAAATGTAAAACACTAAAGTTATACCAATAGATTCAAAACATAATTCCTTGAAAGATACACTTTACTAAAGCTGACAGAAGAAACATAAAATATGAATAGCCCTAATTTACTGAGTAAATTAAATTCATAATTAAAAACTTTATTATAAAGAAAACTTCAGATGGATTCACAGGAGAATTTTATCAAACTTTTAATGAGAATATAATAATAATGATACTGTGCAGCATCTGTTAGAAAATAAAGGAGGTAACACTTCACAATTTATTTTATGAGGCTAACAACCCTGGTATCAAACTTGACTGTAGAATTAAAATAATATTATAGACCAATACCATTAATATAAATAGATTCCTTAATTCTTAAACATTATTATCATATCGAGTAGAGTTATATGTAAAAGAAATAAGAACAAGACATCACAACAAAATGAGGTTAACTTCAGGAATATAAGTTTAATTTAACATTCAAAATAATCTGAGTAATTCACCATAATAACAAAGTGAAGTTGAAATACCAAGTGATCATCTCAAATATTCAAAAACATTTTCAACAAAATTCAAAATCTTAGTTTGGATGTCATTGAACAGTTCAGTATTAAATATGTTATAGCTGTGACTTTTCCACAGATGTCTTTTATGTGATTTGGAAATTTTGCTTTTATATCTAGTGTTTTGAAAGGTTATATTATGAAAATGTATTCAATTAAATAAAAATATGACATTTGTATACCTCACAGCAGTGTGCCCTTATAGGTTAAAGAACAGCAGGGAGAAAAATAAATGCAAAGTTTATCAAAAGGTCTGCTTGAAATAAAGATTAGTGCTATCCAATAGAACTAACTTCCTGCAATGATGTAAATGTTGTATAGTAAGCACTGTTCAATAGGCTAGCTGCTAGCCATTGGGGATTACTGAGCCACTGAAATATACCTAATGAATTTAAGAAATGGAATTTCAAATTTTAATTTAATTGATTTAAATTCAATCCAATTTATTTTATTTTTTAGTGAGTAAAGATTGTGAAAATCAAAATATGTTTGTATTTATAATAAATTCCCTCAGAAATTGTTCATACCACATGTCACACTGTCAAA
The DNA here is from genome assembly GCF_000001405.40 of Homo sapiens. Taxonomy (NCBI): domain Eukaryota; kingdom Metazoa; phylum Chordata; class Mammalia; order Primates; family Hominidae; genus Homo; species Homo sapiens. The sequence continues at coordinate 52,121,103 of NC_000002.12, read as the reverse complement.
TGTGGCCTTTGATCACCATGCTTCATATACCACTTATAATTTCTCTCTGTTTATAGACCACCATGAAATAGTAAAAAGAATAAATTAGATTTGCACACATATACATATATACCCACATGTAATACATGTAACTGCTGTTAGAGAAATATTAGATAATTTGTTTCTTTATGTTTAGCTGAACTTTTAAAAAATATTGGATTTGCTTTAGACAAAATAAAGGCAAGACATTATCTAAACTTTGCCTTATACAACACTTTGCTGATTCCAAGGTGCATCTATGTTCTTACTGATCTTACTAAAGAAAAATAAAATTTTATAAACAAAATCGCATTTCAAGAAAAGTGCTTGGTAAACCCCATATTTCTGCTATCAACACTTTTTGTTCCAGTAGAAGCTTCCTTTGGTAATCAAAAGTCAAATCAAAATCATCTGAACCTCTTTGTTTAGAAAGTAAATAAATCAACAATGTCATACTGTTACTACTTTTTATTTTAATTTTTCAGATTTTATTATAATATTTCCCCAAGTTGAAAACAGCATATCTGCAAAATCTGTAACATTTTCCCTTGCTTACTGCATAAAGCAAGTGAATGCTTCAAAATATATGCTGAGCAATCCCCAGATGCTTCCTTCAATGCATCCTATTTTGTAATATGTTTCAAAAAGGTCATCAGTCTACAAGAAAGAGAGAAAGCCTTCCTGATTTTCTTGTCTTGACTTGGCATTAGCAGTCACACTGTCAAATGTGGCCTTTGGAGAGAGTTTTAACCTAGTAGAAAACAGGCAGTGCAGATGGAGCCTGTATGGAGGAAGTCATTTGATGAGGATGTCTGAAACAGAAAAGAAATCTTTTCTCTGCCTACTTCTCTGAAAGATTCTTTACATGTCAATTTTTTACTTTCATTTAGAAAAATAATTAACAATGAAGTGAATATATTCATTCGGCAATTACAGTCATTATGCAAATGCATAAATTTAAAATAATGAGAACTTACCTCTTGCTTTAGTCTACTCTATTGTTCATTAATTTGAGGGTGATAAAAAAAGGAAGCATTGGAATAGCAAAAAAGACAAGCCGAACATTCAGGTTTGCATTCTCTGTCCTCTGTTCATATTAAAAATGAGATCATCACCATTTTGAAAACCTTGGTTTTGAAAAAATATTATATAAAATAGATAAGTGGTGAGTATTATCAGGGAAATTATGTCTGTGTAAAGCTGATACCTTGATGAACAATTTTTTTGTTTGCTTGTCTTCAGTTTGTTTGCTTCAATAATGCAAGTGTTTCTCTTTTTTTTTCTAAATAGTTTTTTTTTTCTTCTCAACTTTTATCTAAATAGGTTTTTATTCTTAGATTTGGTATTAAAGCTCATAAACATATTTTACAATATTTTTTCTTCTCTTCTGTATATATTACATTTACAAAAATATAAAATTGATAATATACTGATGAGAGTAGATATAGGAGAGAATGGGCAGAGAGAAAAGGAAAGAGTAAGTATTGACAACTCTTATGAAGAGTTATGCTGTAAAGGTGAGCAAATTAGTGAGACTAGAATGAGATTATGAGATCTTTATTTTAAATGTTGGGACTCTATACTGTGTTTAATATTAATGCGAATAATAAAGTAGAAAGTAAAAGAATTACACTAAAGGTGAGATGAGGGAGGAACAAGGTCCTGGAGAAGGCGAGTGTGGATAGATCCTATCTACAGATACTGCTGCAAAAATGGAGGATTTGATTCTAGATAGTCGCATGACACAGCTTCTTCATTTAAACAGAGAGAAGGTTAAAATATGTGCGCTCAGATTCGTGTTGGCTGACAGATGTACAATGTTAATTATGTTGAGGTACTATGCAGATAAACAGCAGTGTTGAAGAGAGTAGAAGAAATACTGGAGGTTTTCAGAAAGGGAGAGATGTCAAATAATGTTAAAGAATGTGACATTGAAATGATTAGCATTATATGGAACCCCTGTAGGCATTTTTGTAGGTTTATTTGGAGTTTCCTTCTCATAAATCCAATGAATCTCTTGTCAGGGACAACAATTTTTCCATGTTGGCCAATTGACAGTCTTTGTTCATTATTCATCCTTTCATGCCATGCTAAATAAAATCAAAACCATTACATGGCCTTACATATATATCGTTTGTCTTGGTTTACTTCACTAGCACACCCTTCCCTATTATTTACATGGGTTTCTCACCCTTGTTAGTCAGTTCTATCTTCTAATGTTCCTTTATCAGAAGTCTGTAACTGACTGGTATGAAATAGCACCTTTCCTCAAAACTTCAATCTTTATCCCATTTCTTAATGCTATTTTTTTCCTTCTTTCATTATTACTGTCTGGTATGACAGTGATATATGACTGTATATGACATACACTTTTCTTAAGTAATTTGTTTATTACCAGTCTTCTACACTAGAATGTAGATAAACGAGGGAAGGGAATTTCTTTCATTTATTAATGTATTTCCCAAAGCTGAAAGCTGTACTTTACAAATAGTAGGTCTCAAATATTCTTGTTGAATGAATAAATTTTATCATAAATCCTCAACGTTTCTCTATTACAATGCATAATTACTTTGCAAACAAAAGTTATTTGGGTCTGATTTTATTTTTATGTCTACACTATATAGCTATATACTATTACAGTGTGATTTATTACATTTTATTAAAAGAGAGCTTGTATAAAATGTGCTTAGTAGGAGCTTGAAAAGCATCAGTTGGATGGATTGTTGATATTATACTTTCTTTACCATTGTTCTCACTTATTGTAAAAGGATAATTTTTTTCTGATCTACTTTGGCAAAGGTTTCATGAGCCACTTGAATAACTATTGTGATGTTATTGATCTTATCTATTTATACATGCTTGGAATTTTTCAATTTATGAAATTGTATTTGTATATTAACTTCTCATAAATGTTTGTATTTGGAAACATCAGTATCTCCAGAGGTGTTGGTAGCAGGCGGTAAATTTTGTATCATTGCATGTAGTATTAGTAGTAGTTATTCTTCATGGGAAAAACTAATATAAAACCACATGTGAGCTAAAGTATCTATTCTACTGCCAGGCTTCAATATGTGTATGACATTTTCTGTGCACTGAGAAGGGAAAGGGTTGAGTGAATTAATCAATTAATAGATGCTTGTTGAATGAAAGAGCAAAAATACTATAGGTTTTACCTGGTAAAAATTCTATAGAGTTACTTTCTCCCTCCAACAGAATTTGGCATAATTAAATATTATACTATAACTTTCTCTGATTAAAATAAAGTTTACCAAGAACTAATTCTATTTCTTGTTCTTTATGTTTGTAATAACTCTTTTTTGTGTTTTAATGCTATCTGTATTATTCAACTTTAGAAATGGCTTATTTTGAATTTTACTAGCATATAGCTTAAAATATGTTGCATATTATTATGTGATAACAAGTTGGAATTTATCTTTTTTCAAACTTTAAGCTAAGGAATAGCTTCCTTTTTATAATTTTTCAAGAACATAACTAGCTTGTTCTTGTTAAGAACTGTGAAAAGGCTGAGACTTTACCCTACTTACAAGCTAACAAGTTAGCCTGCAACAGGCTTTCAAAAGAACCATGAGTCAGAGATGAAGGAGAGAATATCACTCATAGAAATTGCATCAGACTATCAGTATTTTTGTGCCAGTTTCCTATGCCCTAATTCTCACAAGGCAACTCAAAAGAGGGACAAACGACACCTACACATGCAATGAGTTACATTATAGAAGACGAATCCCAAGATTAAGAAATAAAAACTTTTATAACGGGCAGTAAGCATACCTGCCCTTTGCCCAGAGGGAGACACCATCTCTGTCTTCCAAGGCTGTAATCAAATCTGGCTTTAGCTTTGGAGAAATACATTATTTCTGTCTTCTAAGACTGTTTACTATACAAATATAGTAAAGTATTTTAAAATGTCACTCAACTATAGGCAGCCACTGCCTCTCTTCCAAGTTCTGGAGACAGACATAAGAGATTCATGAAAAATTGTTTCCCAAGAGTTCTTTAAGCATGCTAGTCAATATCCCCAAGTGTAGCCTGGGCATGTTGTGATTCTGCATGTATGAGAATTTGCTTCCTGGACTTTTAAATATCAAACATTCTGCCTAGTTTACAAATCAAAGTTCACAAAAAGTTTAAGAGAAAATTGTCTACTCTCCATTGTGGTTACTATTTAGAAATAACTTGGTTGATTCAAGTATCTTAAAGAAAAATTGTTTATTACTGTTTTTTTGCAAACGCTGGGTTCTTCTGCTGACACAAGAAAGCAGATATGGGCTTTTGCAGATACCCAGATCTAACAACAAAACTGATGATTGTAAATCTGAACTTGCTCATTTGAACTTAATTGAATTAAGTCACTGGTCTGAAATAGAGAAATCCATAATGTATTCTAGAATTTGCATCATTGGACTTATTAAAAAAATCTATAGAGTCAAATGAAATAATGTATTCATATTAAGATATTAAATAATCAACTCTCCACATTTGGATGGAAACCACTATGTTTTGAGGCCACTAAGCACCAAAGTATGGCATTGATCTTTTGTTCCCTTGGTGGCTGACTCGTTTGTCTGTAATTTTCTTTGACATCTTAAGAATCTTTAAAAATAGAGAAATTGTCCCTTCAGAGGACAATGAAGACCAAAGTTTGATGATGTGTGTAATGTGTTTTCAGTATCTACTGTGGTACATTGAACTATATTATCATTCTGATGACAATAATGAAAGAAAAATGGGTACAACTTCAGCGTACATTTTTACAAGGCACATTGTTTTGTTTTTTTAATGTTTCATCTCTTTTTTATTACATCTCTTTCATTTCATTTTATTTATTACATTATTTATTTCTTTATCTTTTATAATATAACAGCAAGATTATCATCAGCTTCGCTTTGGAGAAAAAAACTATGTGTTATATAGGGGTTAAGAACAAAGCATAGAGGGGTTAAGATGCATATCCAATGTCAAACAACCAGAAAGGAGTAAAATGACAGTCTGCTTATAGAAAGCACTACCTTAACCTCCATGCTCTTGTCACAGAAGAGCAAAAATTTCGATTGATGGCCTCCAGGTGTGCTAAAAAAAAATTCAGCTTGACAACCAGACACACTTTTTCAGAGCAATGCAAGACATAATTATGATAAAGTAATTGTCCCTGAATTACTGGATATCTCAATGCTATACAGTCATTTTTGTGGCAGAATCTGGAAAAAATTAAGCACTGTCTATTTAATCTGTCACAGGGATCATGTTTCATTAAAGTACACTTGATGTCAGTTACTATGGTAGGAATACTTTCTAACAGATTGAACTGTGGTTTCAGCTAATTTTAATGAAACTCATTCTAAATAAATCCAAACTCCTAAAGCATAAATTAGGAGATGATGAATTAGCTCATAAAAAAGATTCTTACTTTATCAAACCACTTACTAGAAGGTTACACTAAGTGGATGGCTCTCCTCTTAGCTTTAGAGTAAACTTGATTTCACTTAGTAATATAGACACAGCAGATTTTGCAAAATGTGGCATATGTGTTTCATTTTCTAAATGATTAGATTCACAACGTGGTTGGCTAGCCCTTGAAAACATTTGTATAAACCCCTAATTTTACATCTCAACAAAACTACAAAGTTAAATATCAGAAAGTCACTTCTGTATTCTTACCGATTGTTTCTCCCTGAAGAATCTATCAATTACTGAAACAATTGATTTAATGTAATTATAGGCATACAATTTTATATATTTTGTAAATTGGCTGCATATAACTGTAGAATTGTTATAACTTACTATAAACTGGTGTTTAAACTTTTTATTATGATGAAGTTACTCTCTTCTTCCCTAGTAATACTTTTTTTCTTCAGTGTCAACTTATCTATTTGCATTGTTCCACCATTGTTTTTGTTGTTGTTAATTTTTCCCTGCTTGTAGCTTTTCTACACCACTATATTTCCTTCTGTGTCTGGCAAAAACATATGTTAAGATAAGAATTATAATATTGCCATTTACAGTCTTGTCAATCTATATCTTCTGACAGGATAGTTTAGCCCAATTGAGAAAAACTACTGATATTCTAATTTTAAAAAATTCAATTCTATCATTTATTTGTATATTCCTTTATTACTTATTTTGGGTTGCAATTTTTAAAAATGCTTAAATTAAAATGTTAACTTTCATATAAAATGTATAATTCAATTATGATTATAACTTCAAAGTAAAACATTGCATTTCTAATGAGTTATTATATAAATATGCTTGCTTTTTTGTGATAGTCTTTTTAAAATTTCACTCTGCATGAAAAATGTCCTCATCCTCTACTCTTTTTATTTTTTCAAAAACTAATAAGCCTACCTAAGATTTGAATCTGATCATTTTAATATTTGCAGCCAATTTGGGTTGATTTTTGTGCAATTTATTTTCTTGCTCTTGTTGATTGTATGTCTTCCTATGACGCCTCTGGCTCTGCTTCTGTATACAGCCAAAACTGAAATGAGAAGTTTTCTAACACTCTTCCTCAGAGGTATATATTACTTTATATGTCACTGAAAGTGATTGCTGTTCCAGGATCTTGTATTCTATTGGAGTCTCAAATTTGCCTTTCTAACTATCTCATACCTAGGCTTACTTTTCATTTCTTTTATGTGACTCATTAAATCTGAAACTGTAAGCAAATATACACACATAATTTGTTGACCTCATGACATATTTACCTAGGTCTGTTTTTTTGTTTAATTATGTTAGCAAATTTATTACTCTAATGTTGATAAGAAGTTACCTAGCATACTTAAAGAGTACCTCAGAATCTCACATCCCAGTTCAGATGATTGTCCTTTTAAATCACCTATTCACGTTATAATATGGTTTTTCAAATCAGGGAGATTGTGAAAGTCAATTATTCCACTTCCTTGGAAGAGAGGAGAAACCTTGAACCATTTTGCCTTATTCTTACTCTGATGATGCTGGGGAATAAAAGAGCATCATTATTCTCTGAACAGCTTTATCTCTACTTACTTTGTTCTGCTTTATGATACTGCTTGCATTGTTACAGTAAACCGTAATTAAATGTTCTTATAAATGTGCTTAATATTTTATGTTTATAAAGATTGTCTAACTAGATGATAAACTTAATGACAAAAGTGATGAGAGTGCTACATCTTCTTACAGTCCCCAAGATCATGACTTACAGATTTGGGATACTTAACAAATACTTGTAGCTAATGCACATATTCTATTTTTATAATTCAACATACCTAAAGACTATATCACTTATTGTCTTCTAAAATAAAGTCAAGCTATTCGGTCTTCTTCACACTATTCAAATATCAGCGTTGCTACTATTTCACTAGTTTCTAATTTTTTCAAATTTTTTTAGTATGTAGAAATTATAAGAGACTTCATACTCCAATAAGTATAGCAGTATGCCAAGTGCAACAAAAAGATTATTTTCTGGCTCTTGGTCATTGAATTCCTGTCATACATTTTATAATCTTGTTAACATTGTACAACAGCATGGCTGATTGACAAGATATTGTTGGTCAGTGGCCCAAAATGTGTTAGTAGTATACTTTGGTCAGATGAGTCATTTTCTATACTGACATTTTCTTCTGTCACTATCCACCACACACACATAAACACACAGATTTATGGTAAATAGCACATCTCTGTTCTGAGACTGGTGAATGAGACCAGTAAAAGAAACAAAAATGAACTACTGGAGTGACAGAATCAAAAACAAAAAAAAAAAAATGTGGTTTTAAGGAGGTTAAGAGAGAACTGAATTTTGAACAGATACTGTAAGACAATTCAAATACATTTACTAGGATGAGATTTAAGCACATGTCATTTTAAATTGTTGTTTAGTGGCCTCATTTATAGCCATTTTTTGGCATACTGAGGTAGAAAATAAAATAGCCATTAGTTGGATACTAAATGCTAAATGGAAATTATGGTAGAGTACTATGTCAAGATATTTGGCTAAAGAAAATAAAATGCTTCAAGGAAAAGCATCATTGCTAAAGATTTTTTTAAAATTGCATTTGTTGACCTAGGAAAAAGATCCAAAAGGCAGATAAAAAATGAAGATTGGAAAGACACGATTAATGAGGCATTCTAAAAGCATGTGAAGGCGTTGGATCCATGGCATATGAGGAGGGACTATGACTAGAAAGAATAAAAATATCATTCCCTTGGAAAAGTAGAACAGGTGTCATCAGAGATATTGTTTTTCAGATAGAATTTGAAGAAATGTATGAGAGAATAATATGAAAATTTTTATTTTTAAAAATTTTTAAGCAGCTTCATCTGCTAAAACTGAAGGGTAAACATGTTGTATAAGGAACATCTTGCCAAAACATCTAGAAAAATGGACAAATATTTTCAGATACAAAACATCCAGAAAACAAGAAAATAATTTCAGATATTGGACAGCACTGCTTTCTCATGTTGAGAGAAAGCAAACAAACAAGTTGAGTCCCTGTATTGCCCTGGCATTGCACATTCTGGATCTCTGATGAGGGTGGAATTCTCCAAGCACAGAATTAACCCACAGGGTTGTAGAGATAGTGATTAGGGTATTTAAGGAGTCTGTGATTTGTAGAACAGTGTTAGGAGAAGAGGAAGCTATGCAGACATTAAGCCCTAGAAATGTGCATAAGGATCCTTTTGAGTAATTGCTGAATACTACGATGTGCCAAGTAAAACTCAATTGGGTTGGATAAACAATGACCAGCAAATATTATGTTGAATGGTTTCTAAATTTTACCCAAAGTTGGGAAACATTAAATTTTCAGTCACCCAGACTGGAGAGTTTTTGTTGATCGTCAGGCATATGCAATCCAGACTATAGAAGGAAACCACCACAGTGGTGGAGCTTAACTACCACTAAAGAACTGCCTTTACAGAGCTTTTGGTTGTTGGGTTTTTTTGGTCGTTGTTGTTGTTTGTTTTTGTTTTTGTTTTTAGATAGGGCCTTGCTTTGTTGCCCAGGTTGGAGTGTAGTGGCACGCTCTCAGCTCACTGCAGCCTCAACTTCCCAGGTTCAAGTGATCTTCCCATCTCAGCCTCCCAGGTAGCTGGAACCACAGTCGTGTACCACCATACCTGGCTCATTTTTTATATTTTTTGTGGAGATGGGGTTTCACCATGTTGCCCAGGCTGGTCTCGAACTCCTGAGCTCAAGTGATTTGCCTGCTTTGGCCTCAGAAAGTGCTGGGATTACAGGCAATGAGCCACCATACCTGGCCCCTAACAGAGTTTAAAAACAGACTTCAAAAGCAGATTGAGTCCCATATAGCTTGACAGCCTGCCAGGATAAAATTGAAACTCTTAGAATGAAGTCAATAAAACCCAGATATTCAACAAGATAAAGTTCTAAATATCAAATTTACACAAAAAATTACCAGGCATTCCAAAAAGCAAGAAAACGTGACTCATTGCCAAGAGAAAAACTATTCAATAAAACCAGATCTTATGATGACAGGATTAGCAGACAAAGATGTTGTGGTAGTAATTATAACTTCAAGTGTTTAAAGGCAAATAATGAGGAGAAATATGGAAGATATAAAAAAGCTAAAAGGACCTCTCAATATAAAAACTAAAATCTTAAATAGCTGGTTTGAATTAAAAGCACATTAGACACTCTAGATAAATAAAACAATGTCCAGTACTCTAATATATGTGCAAATAAAGTCTCTGAATGACATAGGGAGTAGAAAAATATTTGAAAAAATAGTTCCCAAATATTTTCCAAATTTTTTTTTTTTTTTTTTTTGAGACAGAGTCTCGCTCTGTTGCCCAGGCAGGAGCACAGTGGCATGATCTTGGCTCACTGCAAGCTCCACCTCCCGGGTTCATGCCATTCTCTTGCCTCAGCCTCCTGAGTAGCTGGGACTATAGGCGCCTGCCACCATGCCCGGCTAATTTTTTGTATTTTTAGTAGAGACGGGGTTTCACCGTGTTAGCCAGGATGGTCTCGATCTCCTGACCTCGTGATTCACCCACCTCAGCCTCCCAAAGTGCTGGGATTACAGGCATGAGCCACCACAGCCGGCCTTTCCAAATTTATATGTGAACTGTTAACCCAGAGATTCAGTACCTCACTGAGCTCTACTGACTAAATGCAAAGAAAATAACAAAAAACACACAATAATAAAATAGATAAATATCTGTAATTTTTTAAAAAAATCATAAACCACTAAGAGAAGAAGGAAACATTTTATATAGCAGAACAAAAAAGACATTTTTGTAGTCCAGATTATTGAAAAACATCTTTAAAGATGTTTAAGGTAAACAAAAACAAATAAAAAATTTATAGTAAGTTGACAGAGCATAATTATAAAAATGTAATTCTATACACAGCCAAATTATTCAAAAATAAAGGTAAAACAAATTTTTACAAAAGAAGATGAAATAATTTATAACCATTAGACCTATGCTAAAAATATGTTAAAGGAAGTTCTTCAATCAATGGAAAATGATACTAAATATAAATGTGGATATTAAGAAATGAATAAAGAATAAAAAAAGATAAACGTAGTATATGCAATGACAATTTCCACTTAAAAATAGAGAATTATCATTTATAAGCCAATAGTTGACCTAAAATGAAATTTTTAAATATGCTGAGTATCTTTTTGAAAATCATAGAGAAAGGAAAAACAGAAAAGGACAGAAGGGGAAAACAGCCTACATATTAATTTGCTAGGACTGCCATAATAAATACCACAGACTAGGTGACTTAAACAACAGAAATTTATATTCTTGCAATTCTAGAGGCTGAAACTTCAAAAAGAAGGGGCCAGCAGAATTGATTGCTTCTGAGGCCTCTCTCTGTGGCTTACATATGGCCACCCTCTTGCTATGTCCTCACATTGCCTTTTCTTTGTGTGTGCATGGACTGAGTGTCTCTTCCTCTTCTTAGGAGAACACCACCCCTATTGGATTAGGGCCTCAACCTATGACATCACTTAATCTTAATTAGCTCTTTCCTTTCTTTTTTCTTTCTTTCTTTTTTTTTTTGAGACGGAGTCTCGCTCTGTCGCCCAGGCTGCAGTGCAGTGGCGCAGTCTCAGCTCGCTGCAAGCTCCCGCTCCTGGGTTCACGCCATTGTCCTGCCTCAGCCTCCAGAGTAGCTGGGACTACAGGCGCCCGCCACCACACCCGGCTAATTTTTTTTTGTTTTTTTTGTATTTTTAGTAGAGACGGGGTTTCACCGTGTTAGCCAGGATGGTCTCGATCTGACCTCGTGATCCGCCTGCCTCGGCCTCGCAAAGTGCTGAGATTACGGGCGTGAGCCACCGCGCCCGGCCAGCTCTTTACTTTCAGTTTCCAAATTCAGTCACATTGGAGGCTGTGGCTTCAACATGTAAATTTTCAGGAATACCAATTTAGTTTATAACACTGTATAATTAGAGTGTAAGTTTAAGGCAAATCTTAATAATTATTAAAGAAAATAATATTACACTACATCATTGTTAGTTATTAGTGATATTAAGCACTACAATTAAAGGCATAGACCTGACACTGGACAAAGAGAAATAGTAACTATATGCCATCTTCAAGAAAGTTGGTTTAAATAGAATACCAATTCTATATATTTTTGCAGCCAATGCAAAAATTTTAAAATATATGAAACAAAAATGAATAAAATCTAATAACAAAATAGAGAAATCTACAAACATAGTTGAACACACTGATATTTATGTATCAATAACTGATAGAATGAGCAGGTAAGTTAATAATAAATAGAAATGTTTTACAATATATCATATGCCATAGCCAATTCACATTTATTGAGCACTTCAACCAACTATGGAAAAAAGCAAATTGTTTACATTCACATTGATTTTTCTGTAAGAAAAAATGTTTTCTAGGCCACAAAATGAATACAGATCAATTTAAAATAATTAAAATAATACATAATGTAATCTCTGATAACATTGGAATTAAATAGAAAACATTAACAGTAAAATATATAGAAACCTGCAAGTATTTGAAAATTAAATAACAGAATCTTAAAGAGAAGGAAAATTAGAAAATAGGATCAAAATGAAAATGCAACACTTTTTTGTAATAGAATTAAAGTACTGCTTAGAGAAGAAAAATTTGGCTTTATATACTTATATTTTTTAAAAAAAGATTAACATTCAAGATAACAGGCATGAAGAACTCCCCTGACCCACTTTCCAGTAAAACAAGCAAAACTGGTGAATACTACTTTTTAAAAAACTAACAATTTAAAGTCTCTGGAAACGTTTTAAAAGCATGATCCAAATAAAGACACATTATTTCCAGAAACTCTGCTAAATATCAGTAAGAACAATGAGAATGCATGAGCCATGACCTATTCTCCCTGACTTTCCCAGGCTGGCTTGATAAAGGCTCCAAGTGAGTGGAAATAATCAAGAAGATGGGGGCTCTCTTCCCTCTCAGTCCTTAGGAAAGCTTACTGTATCTCACTGGGTGGGATGGGTTATCAATATTCCTCATCCCTTCAATTCCATATTGAAGAGGCCACATTCCTAGTGAATGTGGTCAAGAGGTTGAAGGCTACTTTCCTCTACCCAGCTTCTAACCATAGAGTATAGAATCTATCCCAATTGGAATGGACTGAAAATCTTGGAGTCTTGGTGTCCATCACTCCAGGTTGCTCTTAGAGCAGAGGTCCAACACCATAAAAGGCAAAATGAGAAGATCAGAGGGTACCTCACTGCTTAGGGACCAGAGTAGTGTCTCAGAGAGGTTGCCAGGGAGAAAAGCAGTTCATAAGCAAAGGGAATGTCAAGGTTTTCCCTAAATAACTCGATTAGTGTTGAAACATGCTGTGGGAAGTTCAAGTCTAGGCATGTTCTCAAAAACAATACCCCTTGTTTTGTAAAAGTAATCAGGTAAACCATATGCCACCTAGTTAACCAGAGAGAACTAGGGGAAGCGCCAGTGAAAAAGAGCCCTCCTGAGGACAGAACAAATTCAAAGACTGGTCTTAAAAACTATCCCTGTACAAACATAATTTTATCATACTGCTGAAAAATTTATACCCTGGTGTACTGTAGAAAATAAAGCAATCAGCTGGTAATTAGCAGAGCTTAGTGTGCATGGTGTACTATCAATTTTGATACATAGCTTTATTGGGAGATCATAAAAAAGAGACACTCAGAAAAATCCTGCTAAAACCACTGTCCTTCTAGGGTAACTGTGTGTATGCCAAAGGCTGCACCCTCTGAGAGGTAACACCAAAGATGTCACACTATGAGGGAAATAGAATTTAATAAAATTGTTTAGGGAAATCAAAAAACAAGGAGCAAAACAATAAAAATGAGCCAAGAGAGTAGGAGATAAATTAGTATCCAGAGTTGTTGCAATACATTATTTAAATGTTTCATTTTTAACAAAAAAGTTGATAATCCATAAGGAAATAGAATTGTGTGACTCATACACAGAAAAAAATCAAGCTACAAAAAATGCAAGTAGAGAGGCCAAGTAAAATTAACAGAGAAAAGAATAAAAGAATCGTTATAAATAATTTTTAAAAAGTAAGAAAAAAACATGCTGATATGGTTTGGCTGTGCTGCCACCTGAAATCTCATCTTGAATTGTAATACCCATAATCCCCGTAATGCCCATGTGTCAAGTTCAGGAAAAGTTAGAGGTAATCGGATCATGAAGGCAGTTTACCCTATGCTGTTCTCATGATAGTGACTCTCATGAGATCTGATGGTTTTATAACCATCTGGCATTTCCCCTGCTTGCACTCACTCTATCCTGCCACCCTGTGAAGAAAGTCTCTGCTTCACCTTTGCCTTCCGTCGTAACTGTAAGTTTCGTGAGGCCTCCCTAGCTATGTGAAACTGTGAGTCAATTAAACCTCTTTCCTTTGTAAATTACCCAGTCTCGGGTATTTCTTCATACCAGTGTGAGAACAGACTAATACATATGATTTAGCAAACTTTAAAGATGCAAACAGATTAAAAATAAAATATAGAAAGCAATACATGATTCAAAGAGCAACCATATGAAAGCTAAAGTATTAACTTTAAGAAAGCTAAGTATTAAAATTTAAACTAAACTATTATCAGACAAAATAATTTAAAACAAACAAAATTTACCAGAAAAGTAATTGACAAATGCTGAAAGTTGTGTGAAGAACTCTGGGAATTAAAAACTTCAGTGAGAACAAGTTATGGGGACTGGGGGCACATTTGTCAGCTTCACCTCCAGGAGCTCTACTAGGTTCTTACAGTGAATATTGCAAAAATAATATCTTTATGCTTCCAGCAGGGGGAAAAGAAAAGGAATTATTTTCAGATATGCCAGGGCACTCTGTTCTTTTTAACAAGATCTGCCCTCAGGAGAAGTTACTTAACCAGACCCTGAGGTGCTGAGGTTTCCTCAGAACCTAACTGACCTGGGGAAAGGGAAATAATTCCAGATCCATCTAGCCTTCCACAAGGAATAAGAACACCCAACTGCAGACCACTGTAGCCATCCTGTCCCAACCAAGGGGCATGGTGTGGAGTGATGAGAAACTCAGAAGCACATATGAAACTCACACTCCAGAAGTATAGGCTCACTAAAAGTCATATATCTAATAATAAGGCTATAGAACATGTCCGTTACCTCCACCACACACCTTTTAAAAGGAGGAAAAAAAAGAAAAAAAAAACCCCAAATTGAAAAAGACACAGAAAGCTTCAAAAACCAACTTAGGTATTGCAGGAATGTAGAAATTATCAGACTAGGAATTAAAGCAACTATGAACTAAAGAAGACCACATATGAGAACAGATGGATAAAAAAATCCAAGCATATAAGAACAGATGGATAAAGAGATAGATAAAAACAGTTTTAAAAGAACCAAAAATAAATGCTAGAGATCAGAAACTATAACGGAAGTAAAGAATGCCTATGATGAGATCATTAGAAGACTGGACATGGCTGAGGAAATGATCTCTGAGTTTGATGATATCTCAATATAAAATTCCAAAATTAAGCAAACCAAAAAAAAAAGGCAAAAAAAGCCACAGATATCCACAAACTGTGGCATAACTACAGAAGATGTGGCATAACTACAGAAGATGTATCATAAACATAGTGAGAATATTAGAAGAAGAGAGAAAGAAATAGAAAAAGTATTTGAAACATTAACAACTGAAAATTTCCCCAAATTAATGTCAGAAGCCAAACCACAGATCCAAGGAACTTAGAGAGCAGCAATCTGGATAAGTGTCAAAAAAACTATACCTATGCATATTATTGTCAAACTATAAAAATCAATAATAAAAAATAAATTCCTGGAAGAAGACAGAGGTGGGGAAAAATGCCATCTCTATAGAGGAGCAAAGATAATAATTACACCCATCTTCTCTTCAGAAGCAATAAAAGCAGAAGAGAGTGGACTGAAATGTTTAAAGTGTTGAAATAAAAATCCACCAATCCAGAATTCTGTACCCTTCAGTTACCCTTCACAAGTAAAAGGTGTGTGGTGGAGGTAACGGACATGTTCTATAGCCTTATTATTAGATATATGACTTTTAGTGAGCCTATACTTCTGGAGTGTGAGTTTCACATGTGCTTCTGAGTTTCTCATCACTCCACACCATGCCCCTTGGTTGGGACAGGATGGCTACAGTGGAAATAAAAACTTTCTCAGACAAAGAAATATTTAAGGAATTGGTATGCATGTAAATATGCTTTGCAAAATGTTAAAATACTTTTTTTGTGTGTTGCTAGGATTACAGGCGTGAGCCACCATTCCCAGCCTATTGTGTCTTTGGAAGGTTTTGATATGAGGATAATACTGGTTCCATAGAATGAGTAACTGAATAATTGAATTGAATAATGAGTAATGGAATAGGGAGGAATCACTCCTCCTCAGTTTCTTTTTTTTTTTTTTTTTATGTATAGTTTCAATAGGATTGATACCACACCTTCTTTGTACATCTGGTATAATTTGGCTGTAAATCCATCTGGTCCGGTGCTTTTCTGGTTAGTAAGTTTTTTATTATTACTTATTCAATTTTGTAACTCATTACTGGTCTCTTTAGGGTGTCTTTTTCTTCCAGATTCAATCTTGGGAGGTTGTATATTTCCAGGAATTTATCTATTTCCTCTAGATTTTCTAGTTGTGTGCATAGAGATGTTCATAGTAATCTCTGAGGATCTTTTATATTTCTGCGAGATCAGTTGTAATGTTACCTTTGTCATATCTGATTGTGCTTATTTGGATCTTCTTTTTTTCCTTTGTTTATCTAGCAGTCTATCAATTTTGTTTATCCTTTCAAAAAACAAACTTTTCATTTTGTTGATCCTTTGAATAGTTTTCTTTATCTCAATTTCACTTAGTTCTGTTCTGATTTTAATTCTTTCTTTTCTTCTGCTAGAACTGGGTTCTTCATTTAGAATTTAGTTCTTCTTTCTCTATTTCTTTAGGTGTAATGTTAGGTTGTTAACAAGATATTTCTATTTTCTTGATGTAGGCATTTAGTGCTACAAATCTTATCACTTCTTTTGCAATATCACAGGTTTTGTTACACTGTGTCACAATTTTTGTTTTTTTCAAATAATTTTTTGATTTTTGCCTTAATTTTCTTGCTTTACAAAGGTCATTCAGGATCAATGTGTTTAATTTCCACGTATTTGTGTGGTTTTGAGAATTCCTCTTGGCAGTAATTTCTATTTGCATTTCATTCGACCTGAGAATATGTTGGGTATAATTTTAATTTTTCCAAATTTGTTGAGACTCTCTGACCAAACATGCAGTCATTTTTAAAGTATGTTGTGTCTGCAGATGAGACGAATATATATTCTGTAGTTGTTGGGTGGAGTATTCTTTAGATGTCTATTAAGACCAACTGGGCAAGTGTCAAGTTTAAGTCCAGAATTTCTTTGTTAGTTTTCTGTGTGAAAGTTCTCCTTTAGAGACAAGAAAAATAATGTATGTCAGAAACTTTGATCTATGTAAAGAAAATAAAAACATTAGAAAAAGAATAACTGAAGGTAGAATACCTATAATCTTTCTTATTGTTAGTTGATTTAACACATAACGGTTCATTTTGAATAATAATTGTACTGTATTTCACAATGTATGTATGTGTATGTATGTACATATATACCTATGTATGTATATGTGTAAGTAGTATCAATGACAGCAGCAGTAAAACTAACACATGGATGAATAAATAAATCCAAAAATTAAAAAAATATATATTTTGAACTAAATGAAAACAAGAACACAACTTATCAAAATGTGTGGAATACAGTTAGGGCAGTGTTTACAGGGAAATTTATATAACCTTGAATGCATATAATAGAAAATAAGAAAGATTTAAAATCAAGATAAGCTTCCACCTTATAATACTAGGAAAAAATAGCCAATTAAATTCAAAGTAAGTAGAGGAAAATAAATGATAAAAATCAGAGCAGAATTCAAAAAAATTGAAAATATGAAATCAGTAGAGAAAATCAATACAACAAAAATCTGTTTCTTTGAAAAGATGAATAAAATCAATAAAACTCTAGCAAGGCTAGCAAAGAAGAAAAACAAGGGTACAGATTCCTAATGTCAGCAACAAAAGAGGGAGCATTACTATAGATACTGTAGACATTAAAAGGATAATAAAGGAATACTGTGAATAACTCTATACTCACAAATTTGATAACCTTGATGAAGTGGGCGAATTCCTGGAAAGACACAATCTGACAATATTCGCACAAGAAGAAATAGATAATCTGAATAGGCCTAAGTCTAGCAAAAAAAAAAAAAAAAAAGCTATCGCTAATAATCTTCAAAACCAGGAAGCCCAAGGCCCAGGTGAGTTCACTAGTACATTTTACCACACATTTAAGGAAGAAATTGTATCAGTTCTCTACCACATTTTTCAGAAGTTAGAAGCAAAGAAAATATTTTCTAATTTGTTCTATGAGACCAGTATCACCCTAATACCAAAACATAGAAAAGGAAACTGCCAAATACCAAAACATAGAAAAGAAAACTGCAGAGCAACTCTCCCATGAAGATAAATTTAATATCCTCAATGAAATACTAGCAAAGTGAATGAAAAAAGTTTAAAAGGAATTATAAATCATGACCAAGTGGGATTTATTACAGGTATGCAAGGCAGAAATCAATTAATGTAATACATCACATCAACAGGCTAAATTAAAGAAGAAAAATCACATGATCATATCAATAGATACAGAAAAAAAACTGGAAAAAATCCAATGCTCATTCAGAATAAAATCTCATAGTAAACTAGGAATAGAGGAAAAGTTCCTCAACTAGTTAAAGAATAGGAAAAAAAAAAACCTACAACTAATGTCACAATGGTGAAAACTACAAGTTTTTCCAGTAAGATCAGGAATGAAGCAAAGGATTCCCGCCTCACTAATGATTTTTACAACCACATGAAATGCAAGTTAATGCAATGATGCGATAAAAAGTAAATAAATGGTATATGGATTGTAAAGAAAGAAATTACACTGATTTTTCTTACAAATGACAAATAATCTACGTAGAAAATCTGAAGGAATCAACAAAGAAGCTCTTGAACCTAATAATAATTACAGCAAGTTTGCAGGATAAAAAGTTAATATACAAAAGTCAATTACTTTTCTATTTACCAACAATGGACAGTGAAAATTTAATTCTAAAACACACCGTTTACATTAGCAGCCCAAAATTAAAAATTTAAAGTGTATGTCTATGAAAATATGTATAAGGTCTATATGAGGAAAACTACAATGTTCTAATAAAAAAATCAAATAACTTATAAAATAGACATTGCATGTTTATGGACAGGAAAGCTCTATATTATTAGAAAGTAAATTCTTCTGAACTTAATTTATATACTCAATGTAATTCCAATCAAAATCTCAGTAAGTTATTTTATAAATATTGATAAACTGATTCTAAAGATTATTTAGAGAGGCAAAAGACCCAGAATAGCTGATATTGTTTGGCTCTGTGTCCCACTCAAATCTCTCCCATATGTTATTGGAGGGATGTGGTTGGAGATAACAGAATCATGGGGGTGGTTTCCCCCATACTGTTTGCAGTAGTGAAAAGTCTCAGGAGACCTGATGGTTTGATATGGGGAAACCTGTTTCACTTGGCTCTCATTCTCTCTCTTGCCACCACCATGTGAGACATGCCTTTCACCTTCCAGCATGATTGTGAGACCCCCTTAGCCATGTGGAACTATAAGTCCAATAAACCCCTTTCTTTTGTAAATTGCCCAGGATCAGGTATGTCTTTATTAGCAGCATGAAAATGGACTAATATAATAGCCAACACAATTTGAAGGAGAAGAACATAGTTGGAAGACTGGCACTGCCCAATCTCAAAACTTACTATAATGCTAGAATAATCAAGACAATGTGATATTGGTGAAAGAATAGACAAGGAGATCAATAAAACAGAACAAAGTCCAGAAATAGACCCACATGAATATAGACATGTGATGTTTGACAGTGGAACAAAGGCAATGCAATGGAGAAAATATAATATTTTGATTAAGTGATGCTGGAACAACTTAACATGCAAAAAAAATGAATCTAGACAAAGACCATACATTCTTTACAAAAACTAACTCAAAATAGATTAAAACTTATTTGTCAAATACCAAATTGTAAAACTCCTAGAAGATAATATAGGTGAAAATCTACACAACCAACAGTTTGGTAATGATTCTTTACACACATATATAACATGTAAGAATGAACCATAAAAGAAACAAGAAGCCAAGAAGCTGGAATTCATGGATATTAAAAAATTCTACTCTGTGAAACGCATTATGAAGAGAATTAAAAAAGCAAGAGACTGGGAGAAAATATTTGCAAAATACTATAATCCAAAATATTCAAGGGACACTTAAAACTCAACAGTAAGAAAAGAGGCATTCCTATTTAAAAATGGACCAAAGAGCTTAACAAATATCTCACCAGAGAAAATGTTCGCATGACAAATAATCATATAAAACGGTGTTCCACATTATATGTCCTCAGGAAAATGCAAGCTTGAAAGATCAAAACCCGGAAAACTGACACCAAATTCTGATCAGGATCTGGAACAGCAAGGACTTTCATTTATTGCTGGTGGGAATGCAAAATTGCATAGCCACTTTGTAAGAGTTTGGTGGTTTCTCTCAAAACTAAATATACTCCTGACATATGATCCAGTAACTGTATTCCTTGGTATTAACCCAAAGAAGTTAAAAATGTATTCACATAGAAATGTTTACACAGACGTGTATAGCAGCTTTCTTAATAAATGCCAAAATTAGAAGCAACAAGATGTCCTTCAGAAGGTGAATGGATAAATAAACTGTGATACATTAGCACAATGAAATATTACCTAGGACTACAAGAAACTGAGATATAAAGCCATGAAGACACACGGAGGAGCCACAAACATATATTCTCAAGTAAAATAAGCTAGTCTAAAAAGGCTGTGTATTATGTGATTCCAACTATATGGCATCCTGGAAAAGGCAGAACTATGGAAACAGTGAAAAAATCAATGGTTGCCATGGATTGGGAAGAAAAAGGGATGAATAGACAGAGCACAGAGGATTTTTAGGGCAGTCATAATACTCTGTATAATACTGTAATGGTGAGTATGTGTCAATTATAAATTGTAATGTAAACTGTGGACTAATGTAAACTATGGACTTTGAATGATTAATATAATGTCAATTCAGATTCGTCAGCTGTAACAAGTGTACCACTGTGGTGGGGGATGTTCGTAATGGGAAAGGCAATGCATGTGTTGGGGCATGCAGTATATGGAAAATCTCTGTAAGTTCTTATTTTCTGCCCAATTTTTGTGTGAACCTAAAATTGCTCTAAAATATATATATATTATTTTATTTTAATTTATATATATTTTAATAGACTGTGTGTATGTGTGTGTATATATATACATATGTGTATATATATACATATATATGTGTGTATATATATATAAATGGCCTACACTTTCATCCTAAGACACTAGAAAAAGAAAAGTCAATGAAACTCAAAAAGAAAAGAAGGAAGTAGGTAATAAAATCTTCAGTGGAAATTAATAGAGATTTGATTAGATAACAATGGAAACAATCTAGGAAACTAACAGTTGATTATTTGAAAAGATCAATACAATTGAGAAACCTCTAGTCAGACTGACAAAGAAAAAAATAGAAGACTGACATTACTAAAATCAGAAATGAATGAGAACACATACTAATGATCTTAGAGAAGCGAAAAAAATTTGAGAAATATGAGTAAGTATATGACAACAAATTAGATAACTTAGATTTCCTAGAAAGACACAACTATCAAAGCTGACCTTGGGTGGATACCATGGTTCATGCCTGTAATCCCAAAACTTTGGGAGGCCAGGGTGGGAGGATCACTTGAAGCCAAAGGTTCGAGACCAGCCTCGGCAACATAGTGTGACCTTATCTGTACAAAAAAAAAAAATTATCCAGATGTGATGCATGCCTATAGTCCTAGTTACCCAAGAGGCTGAGGGGGGATGATTGTTTGTACTTAGGAGCTTGAGGTGTCAGTAATCTGGTTATGCCACTGTACTTCAGCCTTGGTGATTGAGATCTTGTCTCTAAAAAAAAAAACTACTGGCCCAGCAAGACATAGAAAATCTGAATGGATATATCACAAGAAAAATGTTATAATTTACATCCATAATATTTCCAATAACAACACAATTCTATGACGAGAAGGCTTCTCTGAGGAGCCTACCAAATATTTAAAGAAGAATTAATACCAATACTTCAAAAGGTCTTTCAAAAGATAGAAGACATAACACTTTCGGTTTATTTTATAAAGCCAGTAATAGCCTCAGACAAGAACCAGACAAATTATTTAGAAGAAACAAAAGCTATTGACCAATAGCTTTTTGAATATAAATCCAAAAATTCTCAACTAACTAATAGCAAGTAAAATCTAGCAATATATAAAAAGAATTACATATAATGATCAAATGGGATTTGTATTAGAAATGCAAGGTCAGTTTAACATGTGAAAATCAAATTAATGTAATATACCACATCAATAAAATAATGGATATAACTCACATGATCATATTAACAGACACAGAAAAAGCAATTGACAAGATATAGCACTCTTTCTTGATAAAAGTCCTCAACAAATTAAGAATGGAAGAGAAGCAGAACTTCATCAGTGTGATAAAGGACATCTACAAAAAAAAAACACTGCTAACGCTTTTCTTAAAAGTGAAAAAAGACATGCTTTCTCTCTAAAATGAGGAGAGGACAAGTATTTGTTTCCAAATTTAATTCAACATTTTTTGGCAGTTCTAGTCAGAGAAATAAATCAAGGAAATGAAATAAAAGGCAGCCAGATTCGAAGGGAAGAAGCAAAACTATGTCTACCTGTAGATTACATATCCTGTATATAATGGAAAATACTAAGGAGTTTATAAAACAAACTGTTAGCACTAATAAATAAATTCAGAAATATTTAAAGATATAAAATCAATGTAAAAATTAATTATATTTCTATAAAGTAGCAATGCATGAACTAAGATAAAATTGAGAAAATTCCACTTATCATGGAATTATAAGAGTAAAATGAAAAAAATACTTAGAAATAAACTTAAAAGAAGCACAAAACTTATACTCTGAAAACTACAGAACATTGTTGAAAAAAAATATAGAACATATAACTAAAATGAAAGACATAGCCAGGCATGGTGGCTCATACCTGTAATCCCAGCACTTTGGGAGGCTAAAGTGAGTGAATCACTTGCGGTCAGGAGTTCAAGACTAGCCTGGTCAACATAGCGAGACCCCGTCTCTACTAAAAATTCAAAAATCTAGCCGGGCATTGTGGCATGCACGTATAATCCCAGCTACTTGGAAGGCTGAGGCAGGAGAATCACTTGAACCCAGAAGGCAGAGGTTGCAGTGTGCCAAGATGGCGCCACTGCACTCCAGCTTGGGTAACAGAGCAAGACTCCATCTCAGAAAAAAAAAAAAAAAAGGAAAGACATTAATGGCAATACTTAATAATAATAAATTACAGATTCAATTCAATTCACGCAAAACCCTAGATTTATTTTTTGCAAGAATTTGGCAAGCCCATCTTAAAATTTCTATGGATATGCAAGCAAGCAAGAACAGCAAAACAATCTTGAAATAAAAAAAACAAGTTGGAGAACTTCCCAATTTCAAAATTCATTAATCAAAACAATGTGGTGTTGGTGTAAGTGTGGAAATATAGATTGATGTAATACAATTTAGTGTCCATAAATAAACACACATTTATGAATAAGCTTTCAAAAGAGTATGAAGCCACCCCCATGTGGTCCCTGGAAGCAACAAACTCTCTCACCATCCCACATTCAGTTTTCACCAATTTTTACCTGTTCTGAGTTTTCGTGCTGGTGTCCCATGTCATTGCATCTTCCTCAGGTAAGCACATGATCATATCCTGTTGCTCCTTGCAAACACTTGTGTCTCCTTAGATCTTAGTCTATTTGATTGCTCTGAGAATCATCTCTCAGATACATTAATCTTTGCTATTTGTCCATCTTTTTTGTTGTTGTATGGGTCTAGATATAACTTTTCAGCTTACTGTGTCTCTGAGCAGAAACCCAAAGTATTATATGATAGTGATATTATTTTAGTTTTCCTTTGTTTTTGTAACAGGCTTTGCTTACCTTAAAAGTGAAAACTTAATCTTAGGTATTTTTATATCTTCAGCAATAAGCATAGGATGAGGTGTATGTAGCCCTTACCCAAAATTTGATTAGTCAAACTGAAGTCAAAGTCAGAAAAGCCTGTAGTTGCGTAATTTGGGGCAGAGTCTTAAGCAACTCGTGGCATCAGGCTCAACGTTCTGTATTTATCCAATAGTATTAGATTTTATTCTATTTCGGCATGGGTGATATCTTCCTTAATCAGACATGTATGCAAAGGTAATTAAATTATTTGAAGGACTCTATCTATTATAGGAAGTATTCTGGAAAAGGCCAAGAATGATGAAAGGTTCTGGCAAAAAATGATTTTATTTAGTCACATTGTAGTCTGCTTTTACCATATATGGTAGCTGTTTTGACTAAATATTAGAACCACTTAGAAAAGTATCAAGATATTGGCTTGGCTCCACCCTAGAAAAACTAAATTAGAATCTCTGGGATTGGGCAATTAAATTATTAAACCTCCCTATGGCCTTCTAATCTGTAGTTAGAAATGATAACTACTGTGGTAATTGGTTTGTATGCTAGAAATAAATATCATCTGTGTTTAATTATTATAAATATAATTTCATCAAAATATGGATGAGTAAAACTATACATTTAACAAAGAAAAAACTAACCATATCATAATATTTTTTAGTCACTAATAAGGTATTTATAAGAATCTTCTGTAAGCTCTGTTCAACCTATGATAATGTTCGATTAACCTGTCTCCTAAAAATTTACTCAATTACAAGACTGTTAACTTCATCTGCACTGATTTAGACCAAGAGAGAGATGGGAGAGTCAACAGGAGTAGGAGAGATGTATAATTAGTCTTGGTAATGTCAGCCTAGTATCTGGTTCCCCAGAGAGCACCTAAACACTATTACTTCTACTCTCATTTAGGTCCTTTAGTCTCAATGACATTCTACAAGTTTCTACATAAATTAGGATAGGTCAATTTTTCCTATGCTAACAAATCAATCCAAAAATGTCACTGAACTCATAAAATAAACATTTATTTCTCACTTGTACAGAGCCTACTGCATATCTGAATGATTTTCTAAAATAACTGTCTTCTATCCTTAGAGTCAGATATCCAAAATTCTGGGGGTGCCATCATCATATTGCTCAATTATTACACATCCATCCATGTGCTTTTGCTATGGTAGACAACCATGCATGGATTTTCTATTCCCTCAGTCCAGAAGTGGTATCTATTCTGCTCATTGCGCATTGGACAATACTAGATAGAGGAGAACACAATATTGACGATTATGAGTAATGTAATCCTCAATTTATTAATTCCAGGTTTCTAATTCACAAGTGAATTATTTTTATTATTGCAATTGAGAATTTAATTCATCATTAGTACACATGTAATCTATCTAATTACATTTATCTAGTGTTTAAGCTTTGTCTCTTATAGATCAAAATAGCATTTGATTATGGCTTCAAATAGAATAAAAATACAGCACTAAAACACTGATACCTAGCTCATCTAAGACATAGTAAAAGACAAATGCAATAATACTCTACCAAAACAAGGTGGTTAACACACCCTCCTTTATAAACATTCAAGCCTAAATCAAGCCTTGCGATATTATAATGTAAGTTACTAGCCAATAAAAGAATCAATTTCTAGATTCTGGTCATTGGTGCCTTTTTATTATAGGTCCCTACCACATACACTTTTGAGGCTCCTGTAAAATGTATGCTGGTTAGGAACACTGGGATTTTTAACCCACTAACTTATTAATGGTGATGTCAAGTAAAATAGGCTAAGTATATTTAATGAAATTGAAATTTTACAATAACTACCCTTATTTCTCATGGGTGCCTACTTTTAGAAAGTT
This sequence comes from Homo sapiens, assembly GCF_000001405.40. Classification (NCBI taxonomy): domain Eukaryota; kingdom Metazoa; phylum Chordata; class Mammalia; order Primates; family Hominidae; genus Homo; species Homo sapiens. The sequence continues at coordinate 52,095,526 of NC_000002.12, read as the reverse complement.
ACATTTTTAAGGAATATTAATATTTTCTGAATACTGTGAATTTAAAAATACCATCATATAAATCCTCTCAATATTTTTATACTCTATTATACAATAAAAATCAAACACAAAAAAAATAAGAACATTTGACTAGAAACCAATGTGAAAATAGAAAATAGAAACACAGTTACAAATAGAGTGGAGTTCGCTGGCCAAGAATTAATATGTCACAGATATGAAGGAAAAGGCATAAAAAATAGACTAAAACATAGACGATTGCACCAAAGAATCCAAATGTATATAATATAATAAAATAAAGACTCTGAAGCTGAAAAATACCATTTATGAGTTAGGAACTTTTTATACAGGTTTCATAGCACGTTAAACACGGCAAAAGAAAGAACAAGTAAACTGGGAGAAATATCAAAAAACAATTTTTAAATTGAGCAAAACAAGGAAAATAAATGGAAAATATATAAAACAACACTAAGAATATATGGGTCAGAGTAAAACAGCCTAATATATGTGTACTTGTTGGAGAAAGAATAGAAGAAAAAGATAGTCATCAATAATCTTTGAAGAACTAATATTCAAAATTCAATAAATACACCAGCCCACAGATTCAAAAATTTATGAGAATCCCAACAATAGGCATATAACAATGACTACAAATAAGCAAACGTAATAAAACTACTAAAAGCAAAACAAAACAAAATAAGACTCCTGAAAAGACACACATTACTCTCTTAATAAAAAGACTGATGCCTGAAATTATGAAAGTGAGAATAAAATGGAATAAGACCACTCTAAAATTAAAAAGTGACTTGCCAATTTAGAAGTTTATGCTGAGAAACAAATATCCTTATAAAATAAAGAGAAATAAAAAACTATTCACGCTGAAAAACAAAAAGGAGAGAATGAATGTACCATCAATAGATGCATTCACTATTAGATATATAAAAGGTATTACTATAGACAAAAGAAAATAATCACATAAAAACAGGAAAGATATTAGTGAATGTGATCCAGATTGTCTTACCAATCAACAATTATAGTGGCTTACAGATAAAAATGTATAAAATAAAAGTTAAATAAAATTTGAGAATTGGAGTAAAATGTTCAAAGCTTTAGTATTTTCATAGACATTATGAATAAAATTGTACATAATTATAATGTCAAATATGTATTTTTAACCTTTAAAATAGTAAAATATTTAACACTGTGCATATTAAATTAATGTAAAACAGCTGTATTTTGAAGGAGGCAGAGCAAAGTGGTGGAATAGAAAGCTCTACCAATCATCCCCTGACAAGGACACCAATTTAACAACTATCTACACAGAAAAAAAACACCTTCATAATAGCAAAAAAGCAGGTGAGCACTCATAGTACCTGGTTTTAACTCCGTATCACTGAAAGAGGCACTAAAGAGACAGAGAGAACAGTCTTGAATAGCTGACATACTCCTGCCCATGCCCCTATTCTCCCTGCAGCACTGTCATGGTGCTGAGAGCATCTCTGGGAACTGAGGGAGGAATAACACAGCAATTGTGAGGCATTAAACTCAGCGTTGTCCTCTTAGAGTGGAAAGGAAAACCAGACCAAACTCAGATGATGCCTGCCCACGAAGTGAACATTTAAACCAGCCACAGCCAGACGGGTATTGCAGATCCCAGTGGTCAGAACTCGAGTCCCTGCCAATCTTGCCACTGAGGACTGGATTGCTCTGTGTCTCTAAGTAAACTTGAAAGGAAGTCTAGGCCACAAGGATTGCAACTCTTATGTGTGTCCCAGTGCTGAACTAGGCCTAGAGACAGTGGACTGGGGAGGCATGTGACATACTGAGACACCAGCTGGGGCAGCCAAGGAAGTGCGGGCATCACCCTTTCCCTAACCCCAGGCTGCACAGTTTAGATCTCCAAGAGAGACCCCTTCCTTCCATTTGAGGAGAGAAGAGGGAAGAATGGGGAGGACTTTGTCTTATACCTTGGATACCAGCTCAGTCACAGCAGGATAGGACACCAGTCAGAACCACAAGGCCCCCATTCCAAACCCTAGTCCCAGGTGACATTTCTAGACACCACCATGGGCCAGAAGAGAACCCATTGCTTTGAAGGAAAGGATCCAGTCCTAGCAGCATTCATCATCTGCTAACTGAAGGGCCCTTGGGCCCTGAATAACCAGTAACAATACCCAGGAATTATCCTGAGGGCCTTTGGTGAGCCTCTGAGACTTGCTGGCTTCAGATGAGACTCAGCACATTACCCGTTGTGGTGACTAGAGGAAAAACCATTTCTTCTTGAGAGAAGCAGAGGGGACTTTGCCTTGCACCTTAGGTACTGCAATAGCCATGGTGGGATAGAACATCAAGCAGGCTCTTGGGCTTCCTGATTCCAGGACTTGACTCTTAGACAGTATTTCTGGACATGTCCTGGGCTAGAGGGCAGCCTACTGCCCTTCGGGCGAGTACCAGGCCAGGCAGCATTCACCACAAGGTGACTTAAGAGCCTTTGGACCTTAAGGTAGTATCAGCAGTAATCCGGCAGTACTGCTCATAGCCATGGGGTGGTGGCTATGGGGTCAGTCTCCTCTGCTTTTGGAAATGGGAGGAAAGAGTAAGAAGGACTGTATCTTGTGGTTTGAGTGCCAGCTCAGTCGCAGTACAAGAGAACACCAGACGGACTTCTAAGGTCTTTGACTCTAGTCCCTGACTCTCAGATGGCACCTCTAGATCCACCTGGGGCCTGGGAGACCTTGCCACCTGAAGGGAAGAACACAAGCCTGGCTGGCTTTGCCAGTGGCTGATTGCAGAGCCCCAGGGCCTTGAGCAAACACAGGCAGTATCCAGGGAGAGGTTACAGTAGGCCTTGGGTGAGACTCACAGCTGTCCTGGCTTTAGGCCTGACCCAGAACAGTTATAGTGGTGGTGGCCACAGGGGTACTTGTGTCACTCCACCCCCAGCCTAAGGTGGCTCGGAAGAGAGGAAGAGACTTCATTTTAGAGAAAGTAAGGGAAAAGAACAAGAATCTCTGCCTGATAATCCAAAGAATTATCCTAGATCTTGTCCAAGACCATCAAGGTAGTACCTCTATGAGTGCAAGAACTAGAGCATTTCTGGACTTGGGGTACCCCCTAAAAACAGATACAGCTTAGATTACAACACGAAAGTCCTTTTCCAGAAAGCCTTCCTGAGAAAGATGGATACAAATAAAACCAGACTGTGTAGACTACAATAAATAACTAACTCCTCAATGCCCAGACACAGAAGAACACCTCCTAGCATCAACACAATTCAGGAAAACACGACCTGACCAAATGAACTAAATAAGGCACCAGGGACCAATTCTGGAGAAAAAGAGATATGTAACCTTTCAGACAGATAAATGAAAATAGCTGCGTTGAGTAAATTCAAAGAATTTCAAGATAACACAGAGAAGGCATTCAGACTTCTACCTTTTTTCACGAAGAGACTGAAATAATTAAAAAGATTCACACAAAAATTCTGGAGCTGAAAAATGCAACTGGCATATGAAGAATGCATCAGAGTCATCTAATAGCAGAATTAATCAAGCAAAAGGAAGAACTAGTGTGTGTGAAGACAAGGTATTTGAAAACATACAGTCAGATGAGACAAAAGAAGAGAGAATAAAAGACAATGAATTCTGCCTACAGAATCTAGAAAGTAGCCTCAAAAAGCATATCTAAGAGTCATTAGCTTTAAAGAGAAGGTCAAGAAATAAATAGAAGTAAAAGTTTATATAAAGGGATAATAACAGAGAACTTCCCAAAACTAGAGAAAGTTATCAGTATCCAAGTACAAGAAGGTTATGGAACATCAAGCAGATTTAACCCAAAGAAGACTACCACAATGCATTTAACAATCAAACTCCCAAAGGTCAAACATAAAGAAAGGATTCTAAAGGCGGCAAGAGAGAAGAAACAAATAACATGCAATGGAGCTCCAATATGTCTGGCACAGTCTTTTCAGTGGGAAACTTACAGGCCAGAAGAGAGTAGCAGGACATATCTAAAGTGCTGAAGGAAAAAAAAAAATGCCCTAGAATAGTATATCTGGTGAAAATATTCTTTGACCATGAAAGAGAAATAAAGATCTTCCTAGAAAAACAAAAGCTGAGAGGTTTCATCCATGCTAGACCTGTTCTAAGTAAACAATAAAGGGAGTAATTCAATCAGAAAGAATAGGGCATTAACGAGCAATAACAAATCACTTAAAGGTATAAACCTCACTGACAATAGTAAGTACACAGAGATACACAAAGTATTATAACATTGTAACTGTGGTGTATGAACTACTCTGATCCTAAGTAGAAAGACTAAATGATGAACCAATCAAAAATAACTACATACGATCACATACAATCACATAAAACATCTAGTCCAAAAAGACAAAAGTATTTATTTAATGAGTACAGAAGATATATTTTTATGTGTCTTAGATCATGCAGCAAATCTAAACAAAAATTCAAAGAATAAAATTATATTTAGATGTTTTCTGACTGTAGAAAATTAAACTAGAAATAAATGAGGAAAAGATAATTAGAAAGTCTCCAACTGTTAGAAATTAAGCAACACAATCCCAAACAACCCATGGGTCAAAGAAGAAATCGCAATAGAAATTGGAAAATATTTTAAGCAAAAAGATAATGAGGACACAGCATATGAATGTTTGTGGGAAATAGCAACATCAATGTCTAGGGAGGAATTTATATTCTTACATGCATATATTAGGAAAGAACAAAAATTGAAAATTAATGATTTAAGCTTCCATCTCAAGACGCTAGGAAATGTAGAGCAAATCAAACAAACAAAGGTAAACAGAAGAAAATAATAGAGATAAGATAATTTAATGAAAGAGAAAATGCACAAAAGAGTACATTAAAACAAGAAAGAGGTGATTCTTTGAAAATATGAATAATCTTAGTCAAATGCTAGCAAGACTGATCAAGGAAAACACAGAACATTTACAAGTTACCGACATCAGAAATATGATGAAATATCACTCCATATTTCATATTTTTATCCCTGAAGACATGAAGATAGAAACAAAGATTACTGATACTTTAACTATTTGACAATTTTAAGAAAATAACTCCTTGAATAGTATATTCCAAGATTGACACATGAAAAGAAAATCTGAACAGCCCTACAAATATTTTTAAACATATAATCTATTATTAAAACCCTCCCCAGAAAAAAGATTGCTTCACTAGAAATGTCTTTCAAACATTTAAGAAAGAAATCAAGCCAAACTTAGAATAGTCATCCTGATTTTATGTGTATGTGCATGTGTGTAGTAATTTTAAGAGATCTGTGTAAGGTTGAAAGTAAAATCTAACCAGAATCATTAATTTTTTTCTCATGTAGTTCTCCTATCTTTTGTCTTTTTACTTGAATATTTTAATAATAATTACATAAAAGTCATAGTCAGTGAAGTACATTATCTAGATCATGTGTAGGCGGGTATGTAGCTATCATCTGATGACCCTCTTGATTTTTTTTTCTTAATCTCATTACTCTCGACATGCCTACATTTTTTTTTCTAGCCATGTTCTGTGCAAAATGTAGAGGCCCAAGCAGATGCTGTTTTTCAACCAGGGGAAGTTTACTTTTTCCTTTCTAGGTGGATAGACTGGCAAACAAATCAATTTATTCCATTCTTGGATGAAGTTTAGTGGAGGCAGTGTTGCAGTTTTATGAAGATTTAGTCTACTTCTTACTCCATTCCTGAGACATAGATTTTAAAATTTTAAATTTAGAATTCAGTGAATTCACCAGGACTGCTCCAGTGTCTTACCACCACCACCACGAGGGTACTTTGGAAAACTCTTTTCTTCTTTTCAGAATGTTCAGCTCCCAACTCATACAGCTTCAGAATTTGGCTAATGTCTTAATAGAGAAATTGACTGAAACCATACAAGTCTCCAAAGTTGTCTCTTTTGTACCGATGTCTGTTTCTTTGGCCTACTGACTTTTTTGACAGCGTATGAACTAAGAAGTATTTTTACATTTTAAATAGTTCAGGGATAAAATATTTCATAAAATGTGAAATTTTATGACACTTAAATTTCACTAGTTTTATTGGAACATAAACACATTCACTTACATACTATCTAGGACAAATTTCACTACAATGGCAGAATTGAGTAGTTGACACAGACACTATGTAACCGCAAAGCTGAAAATGTTTACCTGTGTCCCTTAACAGAGGTAAGGGACCTCTTCTAAGGTTTTTTTTTTTTTTTTTAAATACACCATTTTCTGCTCTAGTATATAAGACTACCAAAACTTCTGCTAGTTTCTGTATCACTTAGTGTGGCCTTCTGCCCAGGAAAAGTCCAGACACTCATAGAATATTTATAGGATAAACTATGTCTTCAAATTGTAAATTCACCACTCTCTTGTTCCTTCACTCCATGATGTTTATCTATCAAAGGCTTTTTGCTTCAAAAATGCTATGATTTCTTTAAACAGGGTTTTCTTTTTCTATTTTAACTATGATTTTTTACTTAATCTACTTTTTTCCTGACAAAAGCAGTCATATATCACAAATTACTCCATTCTATTTTAAAGTGGTAGATAATCATCACTTGCAAGAGCTGGATTATTGATGTATGTTATTTTGCTTTTTATAAGAGGTATCTAGAAAAAAAGAGGCAGATAAAACTGAAGATATTGTAGGGCATCAGAGAATTTCTGGGTTAAAAGGAACCAATAAAGCCTTCCAGTTTAAACCCTTATTTTGTAGTTTAATAAATCCTGACTTAGAAGTTTAAGAAGTTTGTTATAACTGACCTTAAGATTTTGATTGTCAGGATTAGAATCCTAACCTTCTGAATCCAGAAGCCTTCCCTTTGCTTCCCTGTGTCCTTTATGTGACCTTCACTGTACTATAACAGGCTCATGTGTCTATAGCTTTAGTTTGTGTGGTAGGCTGTGCTTGTTTGTATGCCTTCCAGGAGTTGTGTATATTTATATTACTGTTATTGACACAATTAGGTGATACCCTCATACTTGAGTTATTGAACGTTATCTTTCAAATTTTTTCTTTCTGAGAAAGAATATTGTTTTTATGCCTTCTTAGGTAAAATAAAATAACCAAGGATATTTTTAAGTCAGCTCAAATTTATCCAAAGTAATTTAAATATTATTTTTGAAGTAAAAATATAAGTCATTTTAAAAATAGGGTTAATGAGAAAAATGCCAACAGTTTCATAGTGCTAGTGTCACCACAATCTGGCTCTTTATTCAAAGCACCAATTAAGTAAAAAAGTTACATTTAGCTTGTCAAAAAATATTTTTTTAAGTTAGCTTTTTAATATTTTTTTTGCATAGCCTATCTCTTAATATCAAATCACTTATCTTTATACCTGCTAATGTCGTTTGTTATCATAGACAGAATGACACATTCTATATAAAATACAGTGGACATAATAAAATAAATTCGTTATTGTAGAAGCTCATCAATAAATTGAATCAAGACTGAAGCACACCAAATGTGTCTTATATCTAACCTTTTTATTAGCAATAAATGATATTTACCAAAAGTACTGAGTTGAATGTATTTTAGCAGTATTATATTTTCTGTACAGGTATATCAGACTATTATTTATGACATATTTAGAAATTTATTTATATTTAGAAATGCATTCAACTTTCTAAGTTTTCCATGAAATCTTTTGGGATTAAATATCCTAGCTTTACGTCTTCCATTATGACAGTGTATTGTAAGAGGACAAAACTCAGGAATAGGCATAATTTTAAAACATTTATTCAGTAGTATTCTCACTTCTATTGACCTTAAGAATCTTAAAAATATGTACTATTTAAAGAAGAGTTTTTAGATTTAGCCAAACATTTCTCAGTTTTCATAGTAATACTCTTTTACTCCAGAGATTAGCATAATAGGAGCATGGGACAATTTAGACAACAATCGATAATTTTCCATTATTTGTCACTTCCATTGTATTTACTTGTTATTAAACTATTATTAAAGCAGAACAGCCTCTCAATATTTGGATTTTTACAAAGATATATAATAAAAACTTTTGGGTAGTTTAAATAAATTTTGTTTATTTCCTATAAAAATTTGTGGAGTCTACAAGTGCCCAGTATTTGGAAAGAAAAAATATTAAACTTCCTGTTTATTATCGGTCTTCCTGGAACTGGAAAGGATAAGAGAAATGAAGCAGAATGCAAATATGATCCAAGAGAGTTCTCAAAAGTAATGTAAAATAAGCAAATATAGGTAAAAATTTAGAGAAAAAATGTAAATTATTCTATTTATTTGGAATTTAGTAAATTATTTCCCACAGCCAAAATCATAGTTTAAATATCAATAAAATACTTTTTGTTAATATGACTTCACTGGTAAATAACCTAATACCAGGTTGAATATGCATACAATAAAGTTTCATTGGCAGTTTAACTGGATAAATGAATGATGCAAAATTATGAAGAATAAGATATAATATACTGGAAGGAAAAAGAAGGGGTTAGTATTGTAATAAGGAAACACTTAGTGGTTTTGAATTTTGTGAAACATTTTCAGTGACTGGGAGGTATGTTTATAATTCAGAAAATGACAAATATGCTACAATAAAAAATAAAGATCAAATATTAGCAATTCAATATATCTAAGTTTTATTCCTTGCTTATGTCATCTTCCCCATGTGTATTTGTTGCAAACTCACTATTTCTATATTAGGAGAGATAAGGCACAACAAACAGCCAAGAGACGTATTTATTAGGAGCAGAGAAAACAAAACAAAACATAAAAAACCTCTGGTATTTAGTTAAGAAAGACCACATGGACTATGATAGTCTGAGAAGCCTCCATTGTTAATTAGTAGGTTAATAGATTTGTATTTGGCACCATAAATAACAGAGAACAGACTCTTTAAAAAAGTCAAATAAAAAATATTAACAAATGCTAACTGTACACACAATTGTTTTATTGCATTTTGCTTTATTGTGCTTTGCAGATATGGTCTTTTTTTTTTTTTTTTTTTTTTTTTTTACAAATTAAAGGTTTGTAGCAACCCCACATCAAGCATACGTATCAGCAGATTTTTCCAACACCATGTGCTAACTTCATGTTTCTGTGTCACATTTGAGTAACACTTGCAATATTTCATTACTTGTCATTATTATTACATCTTTTCTGGTTGTGACCAGAGATTTTGGTAGTACTACTGTAATTGCTGTGGGGTGCCACAAACTGTACCCATATTAGACAGCACGCTTAATTGATAAACATATCTGTTGTCACTATTCCTCTGACCAGCCATTTCCCCACCTCCTTCCCGTCCTTGGGCTTTCCTATTTCCTGAGATACAACAATATTGAAATTACGTAGTTAATAACTCTACAATGGCCTCCAAGTATTCAACTAAAAGGAAGAGTTGCATACATTCCACTTTAAATCAAAAGCTACAAATGATTAAGCTTAGTGAGAAAGGCATCTTGAAAGCCCAGATAGGCCTGAAGCTAGGCCTCCAATACCAAACAGTTAGCCATGTTATGAATGCAAATGAAAAGTTCTTGAAGGAAATTAAAAGTGTTACTTCAGTGAACATGTGAATGACAAGAAAGTGAAACAGCTTTATTGCTGACATGTAGAAAGTTTTAGTGATCTGGATAGAAGATTTAGCCAGCCACAACATTCCCTTAAGCCAAAGGACAATCCAGACCAAGATCCTAACACTTCAATTATATAAAGGCTGAGAGTGGTGAGGAAACTGCAGAAGAAAAGTTTGAAGCTAACATAGGTTAGTTCATGAAGTTTAAGGAAATAAACTGTTTTCATAATATAAAAGTGCAAAGTGAAGCCCCAAGTGCTCATGTAGAAATTAAAGCAAGTTATCCAGAAGATCTAGCTAAGATCATTGATGAAGAAGGCTACATTAAACAAATTTTCAGTGTAGATGAAACAGCCCTGTATGGAAAGAAGATGCCATCCGGGATTCATAGCTAGAGAGGAGAGGTGCATGGTTTCCAAGCTTCAAAGAACGAGCTGACTCACTGGTTAGGGGCTAAAGTAGCTGGTGACTTTAAGTTTATTGAGTTATTTAAGTGATTTTAAATAAACCCATTTGCATTTACTAATCCAAAAATCTTAGGGCCCTTAATAATTATGCTAAACCCACTCTTTCTGCGCCCTATAAATGCAACAATGAAGTGTGGTTGACAGCATATATGTTTATATTATGGTTTACTGAATAATTTTAATCCACTCTTGAGATATACTGCTCAGCAAAAAAATTTCCTTTCAAAATATTACTGCATACTGAAATTGCACCTGGTCACCACAGAGCTCTGATGGAGATGTACAAATTAAATGTTGTTCCATGCCAGCTAACACTATATCCATTCTTTAGCCCATGGATAAAGGAATAATTTTGACTTTCAAGTCTTATTATTTAAGAAAGACATTTCGTAAGGCTATAGCTGCCAGAGATAGTGATTTCTCTAATGGATCTAGGTGAAGTCACTTGAAATCTTTCTGGAAAGAATCCACCATTCTTGATGTCATTAAGAGCATTCATGATTCATGGAAGAAGGTCAAAATAGCAACATTACCAGGAGTTTGGAAGAAGTTCATTGCAACCCTCTTGCATGACTTTGAGGGGTTCAAAACCTCAAAGGAGGAAGTAACTGTAGATGTGGTGAAAATAGCAGGAGAATTTTAATTAGAAGTAGAGGCTGAAGATGTGACTGAATTGTTGCAATCTCATGATAAAACTTGAACAGATAAGTAGTTGCTTCTTATGGATAAACAAAGAAAGTGGTTCCTTGAGACAAAATCTATTCTTAGTGAAGATTCTGTGAACATTGTTGAAAGGACAACAAATAATTTAAAATATTACTTAAACTTAGTTGATAAAACAGCAGCATGGGTTCAGAAAAGGGACTCCAATTTTAAAAGAAGTTTTCTTGTGGATAAAATGCTATCAAACAGCACTGCATGTTATAGTGAAATCTGTAATGAAAGGCAGAGTCAGTAGATAGGGCAAACTTCATTGCTGTCCTATTTTCAGAAATTGTCACAGACACCCCAAACTTCAACAACCACCTCCCTGATCAGTCAGCAGCCATCCAAATTGAGGCAAATAATATTGCTGAGAAAATTTTTTAAAAACCACACACACACACACGAGAAAAGTCTATATTATTTTGTGACTAAAGATGTCCAGGACTTGATAATATATTTAATTTTAAAGAAGAGAAAATTAGAAACACAGATCAACAATATACATTTTAGGGATTGAAAATGTATATTAGTATGTTTATACATAAGCACAAAGAGCAAGACAAACAACTTTTGAAATAAATGCATTTGAAAAACTTCATCCTCGGTGAAAATCATCTCAAAGTAGAAGTAAGGTGAAATAAACGGGTCTTCTCTGTACCTTGAATAACAATGTGTAATTAAGGGTGACATAATTTTATATTCATGGAAGCCATTTTTCTTCGAAATTTACTTATACTCTCAGATATGTTAGAAAGGTAATGAGACTTGTAATGTGGCCTTTAAAATGCACAGTGTGACTGGCATAGTTTAAACATAACGTTTAGTTGCAATATCACCCCAAATTATCCTAGCAAGTAGAGCTGAGGCAAACTACCAATTTTGTCTCCACATGTATTCTAGATACCAAAAAATGGGTAAATTGGATTTGTTTGTGCTCTCCTTTTTGCTCATCTTTATGAGCAATGAAATTGTATAGATGGAGACTTCAGTTCACAGAGAAGAAAGCTGCAGGAGTTAGCACCTCCCAGGGAAATACAGACTGCAAATGGATCCAGCAGTCACCATGCTGAAGAAGGTGGGGGTGGGAGGTAGTTATTTTAAGCAGCAAGCTCCAAGTGTCTAAACTCTAGTGGGGGGAAGGAAAAACCCATGAATAGTGCATGTCCTAGAAAAGATTAATTTGGCTCTTCAAACAGTTGTTACTCAAAAGGTTACCAATAGGTTTCCAAGACTTAATAAGGTATGATTTTATAGTTTTCTATCAGTGTAACTGTATGATCTTCAACAAGTCACTTAACCTCTCTGTGCCTCAGATTTTTTCCTCTGCAAAGTGGAGATAATGTCTAAAGATCAAAGAGTAAGTCAGAAGATCACAGTAGGTCTCTTCAGAATTTAGGATGTGTGGTTCTATGATTCACAAAGGCTTCTACCTTTGTAGTCCTCAAAGAACTATTAACTATAATGAGTCACCCCTGTAACCTTTAAAATTATGGCCACTTACCTCCTACCTGTATGTTTAACATTATTCTAGATTCTCAGCTAGCTCTGCTCCAACCTGGGGCTAATTTAAGAAATCCTTGATCAGTAATGGCTAAGAGCTAAGTACCTAACTATCAGGGTGGTTTAAGGATTAAATGTATTAATGCATTAAAGTTCTTAACCTAGTGCACCACATACACTAATTGTTCAATAAGTGCTAGTGTTAGTGGGTGTGTTGATGGTTATCATTAAAATGGCCATTTTGCTCATTGTGTTGTCAATCTTTTTGATGATCCACTCCAACTTAATACACTAATTTCATGATGCAGTGATAAGTGTCCTAACTTTCTTTTGACCAGGCTCCAACTGTGCATTATAATTCCATCAACTTTGCTTCTCTTTTGTTCTTTGGTCTCATTTCCTGTGCTCCATCATAAGCTTCACTCACCAGTCCCTCTGTGCCCCAGTGCCTCACCTCTCTCACTACACCTCACTAGCTTTTTTGAGGTCTCCAATGGAGCTGCTAAAGAGCACACTTCTTGCCTAAGTTCTGAAGAATTTAGGAAATAAAATAGAGGTGAAAATATCAAATTTCACATGGATTAAACAGATGTTAGAGAGTGCAGGTTTAGGTAAGAGATCAGTGGACTTCCCCACACTGAACTTCAGTACTAGGCAACCAGGTGGGGATGGCTGCTGCTAGAGGAAAATAAATTACAGAGGACGGCAGTCTGGGGCTGAGCCTAGATGCCCAGGTTTTCCCATACATTTTCTAATTGAATAAGTGAATAAAGGTTTGGAAAGAGATTAGCTAGATGTATCCTTAATGTAAAAAGTCCCTCCCCAGGAGAACTTCAGTGGTAAAGGAGTAATAGTTTTATGGGCCAGACTCTCTCCTGATTGTATTTTCTAGACTGTGAGAGGTGATCTCTAGATCTTGGTCTTGTTTGGACTAAAGCCTATGATAGTTATTAAAATATTTTATATTTAATTTGGGGTAGTAGTAAGAGAGCGATATAAACCCTCTATAAAACCTTTACTTTTTAATGGAGTTCTACATTAGAGTAGATGGGATACAAGTTTGTGTTCACAATACAAATTTAGCAAGCATAATATTTAGTATTAATGAAAAAGAGACTGGTGAGAGATGCTGCAAATGCACCATCCTCTCTTAAAACAAAATAAAAAACACTAATTTTAAAAGCCTACCTGTATCCATACATAAAGGCAGTGAATAAGCAAGATAATATTCTCTGGCATAGACATTAATTTATTATGTTATATTTCCTGACGTTACGATCGTCTCCTCTAAAATATATGAGCTAGGTGTCATTTTTGCTGGTTCTTTGTCACAGTTTGGTGCCCTCTAAGAACTGTTTTCCATTGTATAAGATAGTGCTGCTAGTCATCATCAAGCACTTTCAGGATCTTAATTCATTAAAATATTTTAATTGGGATAAAAAATATTTCATTTTGAAGTGTGTCCTAAGGGTTCCACGGGGACCAGCAGCAAGCAATAAACTAACAGAAAAGGAACTAAACATAGTGTCAAACAGTGAAACAATTAAATAAATTACGTGGGCTTCATCTCTGGTAATTATGAGTTAGAAAAATAGAACAGAAAATCTGATGGCACTTGCTTTTTTTGCTTTCTCCTTTTAAAATCTTAGTGGTTTGTGTGGTGGTGGTAACAGCATGTATGGGAAAGGCGAAGACCAACTCTGTCTTAATAACTATACTTTTAAGCATGTTTTCTGTCATTACCAGTGTGTTCCAGAGGCAAGCAGAACTCTTGCTGATCTATAACAAAATAGGCAGCCTTCACTGAATATTTATACTGAGCAAGTCATGTGCTAAGCAGTTTGCATGGGATATGCCATTTCATCTTTCAGCTATTCTATAATTTACGCACCATTATTATCCTCATTTTACAAGATAAATTTTTTAAAACTTAGGTTTAAAAAGATTGTATATCTCATACAAGAACACATGGCTACAAATAATTAGAGCTAGGAATTTTAACTGTTCTCTGACTCCTTAGTCCATCCCCAAAGCCACTGAATTCCAAATTATTCACTATAGGAAGGATTATACACAGATATTGATAAATAAGTACATACATAAATATGATGTGTTGATTCAATATTTATTATTTTTTGTTTTTATTTTTACTGCTATGGATATATAATAAATCTGGATAGTGGCTCTAACTGGTTCAGTTGTATTTACAAAAGTAACAAAATAAGTTCTTGGGGCATGCCCTGTTTCTTTCTTCTCTTTCACTTTCTGACATCATTCTTGTCTTAATCTCTAGGTGGCTAATATCCTCATGCCATATGCAAAGTATCCACAGCTGACTATTGTGTCCCATAACAGTCTTCCTTTAAGTCCTGGTTTTCCCGTCTTGCCCTACACTCCTTTAAGCATTAGTCTTGCCCTTTGATTGATGCTACTTTTTGAAGCTCAAAGCAAAACAAACAAATTATCAATTAATGTGGCCACAGAAATTGCTGAGAAGTAACGGCATAACGTCTTCAGGGTATTTGTATTTTAAAAGTGAAGTCTATCACATCAAATGATACTTTTAGGATGGGGAGTTGGGAAAACACTCGTATTGTTTCCTTATTTCTAAACTCAGGAGAGAGGGGTTATCAGTTACGGTGACTATGTAAAAAGCATTAGGAATGCAGGTTTTTGAGTTGCATCTTCATTTTGTAATGTTGATGAGACATGTAAATAGACATTTTAAATATGTGACATTACATTTACCTTTTCTTTAAACTAGGGATTATTCTAGATGCTATCTTCTCTCATATTCACTTTTTCTCCAGTGACTATTTGGTATTTTGCATGTGAAATTTGCTAATTTCTGGGTGAAAATATAATAGTATCTTTAGGATAAAAGATATTTAAATTTTGCCTAAAACTCAAGAAAAAATATTCGTAAGCATACCTTTTCCATGGCAGAGTTAGCTTCCGATATCATTAGAGGTCTTGGAAAAAAAAAAAAAGGTACAGTCTGTTTGAAATACTGAGGCTCTGTCAGTTTATACTGGCTATGAAAATGACCACCAAGCTTAAATTAAGCAACAATCATATATTTGACTTTTTTCCCATGAGAACCTCATTTCTTCTCTCAGGGTAGTATTGAATATATTCAGTAATGGCAGCCTTTTCCTACCTTGTCTATGGAATAGAAGGGCAAAACAAAACAATGAAGACCTGTGAAACAAAGGTAGCAAAGAATGAAAGTGAATTCAATTTAGGTCTGGTAGGCTTGAAAATTTATTTGCAAAGTTTGATTTTAATAATATTAACTTCTATTTTCTTTATCAAAGATGAACATTTTTACTTCCATGCTTTCAGATAACATCTATGACACTGATCCATTCCAGCAAGCATTTTATTCTGGCACTCTTGATAGCACAGATAGAGGAGACTCAAAAGACTGACAGAAGACCCCAGGTAAGCCTGTGCAAAAATTATCTCTAAAATGTCTATTGTGTAATATGACAAAAAGACTATAGTGACAAGCACAGAACGTACACAGTCAGTCTTGGGATGAAGGCAACAAAGATGTTTCTCTATATTTATAAATGCATAGATGCTGAATATACTACACATTAAGTATACACGATGAATATGTGATGAATTACTCTTAAAACCTGTTTCAATAGTCAATTTTTTGATCAGAGTTTGTCTGTATCTATATCTTAAACCACATTAATCTTGTAGGATCATTCAAGCTATTTATACTACTTCCATACCTTCAAATAGAACAAATTACTCTCTCCACAGATTTGAAGTATCAAACATTTATTCTGACACATTCATGTTTATTACTTTAAACCTTAAAATGATAAAATATGAGTAAGCCTTTTACATTCATTTCTTAGTAGAGAGAGGAAAATTTTACACTAGCCTCAATTACTCACAGAATAATTTCCCCTATTTTGGTTCAATACTATCATTAGAAAAATAAATGTGAGTGTGTGTATGCGTGTGTGTGTGTGTGTTATGGTTCTGTGGAGATAGCTCGTAATTGAGAAGAAAAAAGAGCATTTTTTATCCACAGTCTCCCTAACAACAGTGGATTTTTCAGCATTTGTTTACTTAATGAGAGGTCAGTTATCTCCATTTCCACGTGCCTTCAATTTAATTTATTCAATTCAGTGGTGAGCACAAGTATGTAGCCCCATTATTTTATAATATCACTGTTTGTTGCAACCATTTCCTGCCACTAAGTATACACAAAAGAAGAATGATTATCATCCAAACTATTGTTATGTTGATGTAGGATGGATTAAACAAAAAAAACTCTAAAAATATTAAGGCAGATTGGAAGAATACAGAAGGACCAATTGTAAATGAAAACAATCGGTATTTGTTGCTGCAATGATTATTATTTAAAAAATACTTTATTCAATTTTTATGTGAATTAGCTTCATAAAACTATAATTTATATAAGAGAATAAAGAGTGCACAAGTAACACTCTAACTGATAAAATAAAGACACCATGTTCTAAAAGAGCTGTTTGATCATACGTGGAAAACCAAATATTTTGAGATAAATGGGGATAATTTTGCTGTGAGTGTCTACGAAGGGCTATAGTGGCTTCAACAAAGCAAGTAACCGCATGCAGATATACCCCAAATCTTTAGAAATAAAAATCTCAGGATACCTAAGATTTTTTCAAACTTATTTTCTATATAGGGTTGTCTTATCGCAAAGAATTTTCTGGCATATTGGGCTGAACAATAGCCTCACCTAACTTTTTACTCCGACTGTACAGTGCTGTCCTTGGCAGAAATCATACACCATGACCCATGAGAAACTTCAGTTTTGCTTGCTTCCTGTCCAAAGCATTGACTTCTTGTTTATTTTCTATGACTACTTTCTCATTTGAACTACTAGGTCATTCCAAAAATGATAGACTGTTTTCTTTTTAAATCTGAATAGTGAATACACAATGCATTTAGAAGTGATGAACTGTGAGGTGGGATAATAAGAAATTGTTTCTCTGTGTTACTTCCTATATTGTTCCTCCTCATAGTTACCTCATGTCAGAAACTTATGATATAAAATTAAAATGTGATCAAGTCCGTAATGTTCAAATTCTATTTTGAACAATATTTAGTTCTCTTTCTAATGTATATCTATTCTTTTTTTGATACTCTGATAAATCTTATGTACTTAGGAATTAATACCAAGACATTATTAGCAAAAAATAAACATCTTTACACCAAGAGTAGATTTTCACTTAATTAAAAAAAGGTGGAATGTGTATAATGGACAAGGGATAACAAAAATTTGCCAAATAAGACTATTAAGAAAATCCCAGCAAGTAACATTTGTTACTCCTTGATCCATTAATCAAAAGACAACACATAAAAACTAAGCATCTACATATTAGAAAAACATCAAAATTCAACCCTGAATCCAGCATATTATCAAATGAACAGACAAAAATTCTACCAACAAACTTAAGAAAATATCATTTCTTATTAAAGTACTACCGGTTAAAGAGCATGTACAACACTCTCACCTCAATGTTTTCCTCCAGTATAAGTCGAAACGCATACCCCAGGGTCTTTTTGAAGAACAAGCCACTGATAAAAACAATATATTTTTAATTTACATAACATTTCATCCATGTGCATTCTTTTCAAGCACCGTACAATAATTAATTTGCATCAGGCTTTCCAAATTAGAAAAACTTCATTTATAGAACTTCTTTCAGTGGGAGTTTTCACATTTCTTTTGAAGTAAATGTTAAAACTGAAAACTTTCTTGTAGTTTCCAACCTATTAGAGTTTTAATCCCATGTACTTTCTTATATTTACAAGATCCAGCTATAGTGTGCATTTTCATATGTCCTTGAATGGATATGAGAGAAATGAAAGCATTCTCACATTCTAGATATTCATAAGGCTTTTCTCAGAATGAGTTCTTGTCTTCAAATGGAACTAGAACAACTGAAAGCCTTACCACAAATTTAAATTCAAAAGGCTTTTCTTCACCATGAGTCCTCCCAAGCCTTCCAAAAAAAAAAAAAAAGAAAAAAAGAAAAAGAGAAAATCAGAGAAAGAAAATCAGAAGGCTTTACCACATTTCTCACATTTTTAAGGTTTCTCTCCAGTGTGAGCTCTTTCATGTTTATGAGGAAAATGGAAAGAGTAAGTGCTTTACCACATTTCTTACATGCGTAGGGCTTTTTTTTTCTTTTTTTTTTTTTCCCCTGTGGCTTTTTATGTCTTTGAAAAAGAACTAATACAACTGAATGCTTTTCCACAATTCATAAGTTTTCTCTCCAGTATAATTTTTCTTCTTCTTCTTCTTCTTTTTGAGACAGGGTCTCACTCCATTGTCCAGGCTGGACTACAGTAGCAGGATCTCAGCTTGCTGCAGCCTCGACCTTCCAGGCTCCAGTGATCCTCCCATCTCAGTCTCTCAAGTAGCTGGAACTACAGGCATGTGCCAGCATGACTGGCTAATTATTTTATTTTTAGTAGAGATGGGTTTTGCCATGTTGGGCAAGCTGGTCTCGAACTCCTGACCTCAAGTGATCTGCGTACTTTGGACTCTCAAAGTGCTAGGATTACAGGTTATGAGCCATCACACCCAGCTTTCTTTTTCCTTTTTTCTTTTTTTGAGACAGGGTTTTACTCTGTCACCCAGGAGGCTGGAGTGCAGCAGCAGGATATTAGCTGACTACAGCCTGGACCTCCCAGGCTCAAGTGATCCTCCCATCTCAGTCTCTCAAGCAGCTGGGACTACAGTCCTGTACCACCATGCCCTGCTAATTATTTTATTTTTCGTATAGATAGGGTTTCACTATGTTGACCAGGCTGGTTGTGAATGCCTAAGCTCAAGCAATCCACAAACCTTGGCCTCCCAAAGTGCTGGGATTGCAGGTGTAAGCCACTGTACCAGCCTCTCCAGCATGACTTCTTTCATGGCAAGTAAGTCATGGCATGGAATGTGTGTAGGCTTCATCACAGGTCTTACATTCATAGCGTTTTCTCCCAGTATGAATTATTTCATGGAGGTGAAGGGAAGTGAGACAACTGAAGACTTTATCACTTTTTTTTACATTCATAGAGTTTCTCTCCAGTATGAGTACTTCTATGGTTACAAAGGGAACGGAAACGACTAAAGGCTTTACCACATTTTTTACATTCACAGGGTCTCTCTCCAGTATAAATGCTTCTATGGTAACTGTCACACACATCCATGTGAAGAGACCACCAAACAGGCTGTGTGTGAGCAATAAAGCTTTTTAATCACCTGGGTGCGGGCAGGCTGAGTCCAAAAAGAGAGTCAGCGAAGGGAGATAGAAGTGGGGCCATTTTATAGGATTTGGGTAGGTAGTGGAAAATTACAGTCTAAGGGGGTTTTGCTCTTGAGGGCAGGGCGGGGGTCACAAGGTGCTCAGTGGGGGAGCTTCTGAGCCAGGAGAAGAAATTTCACAAGTTAATCGCTTAGTTAAGGTGGGGCAGGAACAAATCACAATGGCGGAATGTCATCAGTTAAGGCAGGAACCGGCCATTTTCACTTCTTTTGTGATTCTTCGCTTGCTTCAGGCCACCTGGATGTATTTGTGCAGGTCACAGGGGATATGATGGCTTAGCTTGGGCTCAGAGGCCTGACAATAATGAAGGGAAGTGGAATAACTGAAGGCTTTATCACATTTGGTACATTTATAGGGTCTTTCTCCAGTGTGAGTCCTTTCATGCATTTTAAAAGAACAAGAACGTCTCAATGCTTTCCCACATTCCTTACATTCATAGCCTTCCTCTCCAGTTGAGTTCCTTCACGTATTAGACAGGAATCGGAAACAGTGAATGCTTTACCACATTGTTTATAATGTATATCTATTCTTTCTTCAAACTCTCAAAAATATAACTGTTCAGATTTGAGACAGTCACTCTTTTCTCCTTTCTGCTTTTAGACTAGTAGACAAAGTTGTAGGTAGAGACCATTTTCTGAAATCTGACAATGGTTTATATTTCTGAGCAAATAGATTTCTTTATATTGAAATGAAATTAGAATGATTTATCCACCAAATTGCATGTACTCCCTGAGTAAAAACAAACTCCAAAAAAGGAAAGAATGTGACAGAGATGGAGCAATACATGGTCACTTTCTTATGCCAAATTATTTTAAAAACCAGATTTAATATGCTAATGAGTTCTCTCTACCTGACAGAAACATAGTGTGTTGGGAAGAAATGTCTGCCCTTACCATCACATTCTGTAAATGGTAAGATTGGACTGACTTCATTGAATCAAATGTGATGGCTTGAATTCAGGCACTCAGCATTTCTCATACAGATATACTGGGGCCTTCTCTTAGATCACAAAACAATGTAACACTGCAGACTAACTTCCCACAAGGCATTAAGATGTGAAAGGCTCAAAATAGCAAAGAAAGATCTAGAAATTTAAGGACTGGCTGCTAACTTCCCATTTGCATATATTTTCCAACAACAAAGCTTTGCTTTACTGAAAAGTGGGATTGAGAAAGACAAGGATGATATACCACACATACATAATGTCTTCCTGAGTTTTGAAAACAGTGGGCAAAGTAACTTAATTTCAAGTGGGTTGTATCTCCTGTTGAATAAATTGAATCAACAACACAATCCTCGACTCTGAATCTCACCTGGAGAGACAGGTAAGCAATAATGAACTCGGTGCTACAATTGTGTACTGGAGGAAAAAAGCAGAGATTTTGCAAAGTAGGCATCTCTAGCAGGTGTGTCGATGGAACCTTCTTCCTGTTTCTAATGCAGCTGCACATGCTTCTGGCAGGCAGCTTGAATTTTTACCCCTCAACCTTAGTGATTTTGTCTTCCTTGGCTCTAGATTCTGGCATGTCTGTGCATAAATTGTCAATTTTATTAAATCTGTAAAAGGCCTGAGTGTTAACATTAAGCATGCAGATGCAGTGCTTGCCTGGCCAAGCGCACTTCCTGGGCCACCAAAATAGTGCAGCTGCAGCCATTAGCAGTGACAATCTGTAAATCTTAATCTGTTCAACTGTGGCACTGTCATGAGTTGATCCAGGGTAAACATTTGCTATTTCAATTAGCTAGAGGGAAGACCACTATAAATATACTGTGCTGTCCCTTGGAGACTATATTCTATATTTAAAGTCCAAAAAGTATTATATTTTAAATGCCTAATTTGTAACTAATTTAACAATAAGTTTGATAACTTTTCTTCTAGCCTACGTCCATTGCTTCCTCAAAGTGTTTTATTTAGAAATTAGAAATTTATTTTGAGGTCAGGATTTCTATTTCATCTGTTTCTAATGCGTATAGGTGACTGTTAACTCATTATCCTTATAGGTAAAGTACACGGGTCCTTTTTATGTTTTAGTTCCTGAAAATTGACTCACATATTCAGATCATTCTGCTGAATAGCACCAAAGGGTAGAAAGAGCTAAGATATGGTAAACTAATATAATTAACCTGATATAATTTAAGGATAAATATAATTACTGTAAGAAATCAGTGCCAGACTTTGATATGTAAAGAAACAATGAGCAAAATGCTACTCATACTAACTTATTTCAAATATTTACTAAGTAAACTGACATTAAGATGACTGAAAAAGAACATTACTAGGGTCTGGGGAATAAGTCTTTATAAATTTAGGAGTCATTAACAGAGATATTTGATGTATTAACTAAATATGAAGATCTATTATTAAGGAATGCTTCTCAAAAATATTTTCCTAAACCTGGTGTGCATGTCTCTAAATATGACTATACTTTAGTTACAAATCTCTAAATTAGTAGTAACTTATTTCTGCATTAGTATTTTATGGTTCAACCTAAGGTATCTCACATAACTACAACAAAGATTTCAGTCAAACCTTCAATCAGGTGAGGCTTGACTAGAGCTGGGGGTTCTGACTCTAAGTCCACTCAAATGGCTATTAGCTGGAGGCTTCAGTCACTTGCTTCATGGGCTTCTCTATATAATTGCTCATGACATAACAGCTGGCTTTTTCCGTAGCAAGTGGTCTAAGATATAGAATGCAAAGCCATACTGCTTTATAATGGCCTACCAAGTATCCCAGTCACACACTGTCACTATTGCCTTATTTACTTATTAAAAGTGAGTCACTAGTTCTAGCCTACACTGAAAGAAAAGAGACTGTTATCCAGGGTAATGCCTATGTTATATAGCTGAATTTCTACCCTGCCGTAACTCTGCTTATCTTTAAGAAATAAGATGGTTGCAATAAAAAGTTCCCTTAGTAACCAGACTTAGAGGAGTAAAGGGCATTTGTTAAAATCTTTAATATTTACATCCTGTAGTTTATAACAGTAATAAGCAAGGTTTGGCATACTATATCCTGGAAGTATTTTAATGGCCCTTGAGAGAAGAATTATTTTTACACTGTTAAACTGTGTTTTTTTAAAGACAGGAATAAGTGATAGTGATAACATGTGGCTGAAAAAGCCTAAAATATCTACTATCTTATCCTTTATGGAAAATATTTGCCCATCTCTTGCAGTCAGGAACAAATATCCAAAGCAATGCCAATATCATGATTACCTGAAATAAGCAAATATGAGCTTTTAATTATATTATTTTAGGCTTACATTTTTGTTTTGCTTCAATCTAGCCCTAAACAGTTGTTAATATTGTTGTCATGGGATTTTTCTGTTTTAATTTCATCATATCAGCCCACACCAATAATAAAGGACACTCTTGACAACTCAAAAATAAAACCATTTTCTTTCAGGAAGTCAAGAGTGGAATAAGGACAGATGAATCATAATTAATACTTGTCTCAATGTTTCAGAATTCCTTACGTGCCACTTACTCCCTCTCCCAACCCACTAGTATTGCCCTTTTGGGGATACTCTGTTCATAGAATCTTATTTAGTTCATTTCCCAGAATGACCGTTACACTTTGGGTCCATATTGCAGAGACCATATTTTTATTCTAAATATATTTTTTTTCTTATTTATCTCAGAGGGCCTACTATATATTTCCCATACTATACACAAACATAAAATCAATCAACAAATAGTTACTAAAATTAAGACATTGAAGATCTCATTCTATGTACTGTGGAGATTACAAAAAGATAAAAGGCTGTCACAGTGGAAATTATAGGCAAATTGAGAAGCAAGCCTTTACTAGTGAAAAGTTGGCCGATAACCAAGCCAGTGTGAGTGAAGTGCTAAGTCAGTACTACAGAGAAGAGAGGTATAGAAAACTTGTCCAGTCGGGTGTCTTACATTTTAAAGGCAGGTCACTGTGCGATGTTTGACCTTATGATCATGCTAGAACTTCTTTGTTAAGATCCATGAGGACTGAGCTTATTATTATTTTTTTTTGACAGAAGTTAGGGAATGAAAGCCTAATATTTGATTTTGCCTTTTTCTTCCTTAATGTTTTCTTCAGCACCCATGGCCCAGAATGTCTAAAAGTTTAATTGTTCCATACCGATTTTCAGGGAGTATCTGGTAATTTTACAGATAATAAAAATTAAATATATCAGCTACTGCTGTTATGATAGCATGAATATTTTCATAAATCCTTAAACAGCTGTCCAGCTAATACAATGTAACTGAATTGGCACAGTATTAGACCTATAATTGTTGCTGATGCTATGGATGAAGCTGTAAGAAAATAACAGCTACAACAAAACAAGTAATTATTTAAAAATGACTGTGTTTGTATTTACTTACACTCAATATTAATTACTATATGCAATGCTAAGGTGGCATTTGTTTAATACATTTATACTTTGATAAAACAGTAAACCAAATACTATTCATTCTTTTAAAAATTGTTCTCTCATTTCTTAAGTAAAGCTCATTTATTTTGTTTCCTAAAGTAAAGCTGTTCTGTATACTTGATGCATGTGCTTTCGTGAAACTAAACATTACAAATAAGTAAGGTGGTTGTTGGAAATAAAGTTTGTTTCCATCCCCTCCAAAATTTAGTTAAACTTCATTCTCATCTTATCAAAGCAATTATCTGATACATATAAATGTTAAATTGATATAAATATAAATGTATATTCAGGTCTGCCTGAAATTTCTATCTGATTTGAATACTGGAAATCATTCTTAAAAGGGGAGACTTATTTGTGCTCTTCTTAGAAGGAAATCTAATGTCATACACTTATTTCAGGCAGGAAGAGATTTCTGAAAAGAACACTGAAGAACTAAAGGCATGATGAAGTATTCAGTTCTCAAAGTTCCTAGACAATTTGAAAATGTCAGGGTACGCATTATTCTGTTGATATTAAACAACCTGTCAGCCCAACTCATTTGTGAAAAATAACAGTGGGTATCTCTTTGGTATTTCCAATGTCTCTGAATTTAACTCAAAATGTACATGCCCCTCCCCTAACTCAGAGCCTGCATCAAAAATAAATAAATAAATAAATAAATAAATAAATAAATAAATAAATAAAACCATTTAGTGCCCTTCAGTTACATGATGACCTTGTTAATGTTCAAATTAACAGAGAGCTAGTGAGAGTGCCCTGGAATTCCAAGAGCAGTCAGAAACAGTGTAGGTTATGAATAGAAAGTAGTATTATAATAAAGAGGGTTAATCTAAAGAGAAAATGGCTCTCATATGTCATGCAGTGTCTAGCTAGTAGCAGAGTGAATGTACATGTTAGTTATATTAGAAATACCTAAATCTAACTCACTAACAAACTTACATCATATAAATTGTTTTGTTTCAGATGGATTATTTGGTATAAATTTTAAAATCAATCAATTAAGATGTCTTGAAAGTTGTACTCTAGTCAAAATATTATACTAGGTAGATACTATGGAGGAAACAGAGAGGGCTGTTTAAGACATGGCGCCTGCATTTATTAAGATGGAATGAATCACTGGGAAACTGCAGAGACTGGAAAGGAGGACAGGTAAGACAAGATAGCCATTCAGCAAATAAGAGGAGAAGGGTGAGAATTGAGATGTTGGCTAGGATTAAGGTTAAAATGGATGGGTATATATGGTCAACAACTGGATTTTCAGGAATACTTGTAATCACAAACAAGGCAATATCTTCCACTTCTCTTAACAGTGAATATTCTGAAATTTCCTCAAGGTAATAATTAATCCTAGGAAAATGGGTAAAATATGGCCAATAGCCTTTGGAGAACATAGTTATATTCATAAAAAAAAAAAGGAAACACGTAAGGACCAAACAAAAGAGGGAAAAGATGAAAATCAGAATGCTAGCAAGATTGCAAAATTGAGTTGCCTCAAGGACTTTTGCCTATTCATCAGACCTAGAGCCTAGAGCTGTCTACTTTAAATAGGGAAGCCAGAGTTTTGGCAGGAACTAGGAGGAAAGTTGAGCTCCAGCTCCCATGGGAAGCCAAGATCCTGGGGACTACTTCTCTAAAGAAAAAACTTTGTAAGAAATAATTTCATATAGTCTCCCTTTGCTGGGGAAATATTTCATTTTTAATGAAATGAAAAAAAAGTTATGTATTTTTTTGGATGGTAAAAATAACATCCTCTAATAATTATATCCATAGAAGAGGCCACAAATAGATTTTGAAAATGAATTTATGCTGTGTGTGATAATTCAAACTGAGAAATAAAAAATATGGTAATAAATTGTCAGAAATTTGGGGAGTCTGACAGAAGTAAAACAAAGCCCTTCCAGAGAAGTATATTCTCAAACAAGCCTGGAAATATTCCTAAGAGAAATTTGACTGTAGAGATATCAAATGTATAATTATTGATCGAAATGTATGAAACAATTTAAAAAATTTTAAAAAGGACATATGTTTGAAAATATTTTAAAAATGTAGATAAATCTTAGGTCAAAAGAAAGCTCATTTTGTGAAATAAAATACTCAGAATGATGTAAAATGAAAATATAATGTAACAAAACCAGTAGGATGAAGCTTCTTTGACAATTTACCACTTTGACTATAAATTGATAAATTTATCATATATTTTTATTCAAAGACGTGCTGAATATGAGGATGGAAAATAAGCTATAAAAATAAAGTAATAAAACTGAAAAAATAGAAAGGAATAATAATAAAGATAAAAGCCTAAAGAAATCATAATCTCAGCAGCCATAACAATAATAGTACTTATAAAGATCTTACTAGATTCCAAATACTGGTTTTACTTTTACATTTATTAGCTTAATATACCACAATTTGCAAAGTAAACTTACTAATGCTGTTTAAAATCAGGAAACATAAACAATAGAGAATCAGCTATTGTTTACTTGTAAAAAAAAGTTAATAAAACAGACAAACCTCTGGGATGTTTAATCAAGAAAAAGATGTAGAAAATACAAGTACATAATATTAAGACAAAAATGGAGAATGCAACAT
Organism: Homo sapiens; assembly: GCF_000001405.40. Lineage (NCBI taxonomy): Eukaryota > Metazoa > Chordata > Mammalia > Primates > Hominidae > Homo > Homo sapiens. The sequence continues at coordinate 52,068,941 of NC_000002.12, read as the reverse complement.
TTATTGCAGACATTAAAATAATTATGTGTATACTAAGAATATTATGCTAATAATTTGGAAAACAAAGATGAACTAGATGTTTTAAGAACTAAAACCTATCCAGACAAAAATCTTTTGACTCAGACAAAAATCTCAATAAATTAATAAGCCATTAGAATTATCTCATACTTAAAAATTTATTTAAAAAGTATACTGTCATGAATGTGTAATTTTTACAGATACCTGAAAAACTTTCATAGAAAATAGAATTGCAAATATTATGTAAGCCTTTTCAGAAAATAAAAACAGAGGAGACACTCCTCAATTCATGTTATAAGTATCATATATTCTTGATATCAAAACCAAATTAGGGCTGTATAAATATTAGTATCATAAGCCAATATCACTTGGAAGTACATGTAGTCACTCTAAATATAAAATTTAGAACAAAACATTAACATGTTTTTACAAAAGCCTAAGTGATGCAATGATGTCTTAATTTTGCAAAATCTATTGATATAATTCATGTTATAAAGAATAAACCATATTATCAGCTTAACAGAAGTCTTTGATAAAACTCAACAGATTTTTAGATTATTAATATTAACCAAACTAGTAATAGAAAGTCACTTTCTTAATATAGGATGTCTATTAAAACTTGCAGTAAACATTGAATCAATGGTAGAATATTTGAAGCATTTAAGTCCAACAATGAGAAAAGTATGTCTGTCATCTATTCATCAAGTAAGACAAGTTGAAGAAATACAAAGTATAAGCATTGGTGTTTTTAATGTCCTCAATGCAGGTTGTTCACAAAGCATTATTTTATATAAAATTTATCAATTTATATAATTTATATAAAATTTATATATAATTGTATATAAATTTAAATTTCATATAAAATGTATACGTAACAGTAAAACGTTATATAAGTGGCATCATATATCTATTTCCTTGAAATGCGCTATTTTTCTTAATATATTTTTAGAATTCATTCAGATTGGTAGATTACAGTCTGTTACATTTTACTTAATACAGTTCTGTATGGCATCTACATAAAAAAAGACCCAAGATATTCTTCAGACCCATTATTAGAATTAACAAGAGAGTTTAATAATGTGGCTAATGGCTACAAGAGCAATAAAAAATAAAAGTTACATAAAAATATGACAGCAAAAACTATAAAACGTTTTGAGATACTATAAAATGTAAGTAATTTAATGAAAATATAAATATCTTTTATAGATCAAATTGTAAAATAGTGATAAAGTTCTAAAATATGCAGTTTGTTTAGCAAAATATAAATACAGTCATGCGTCACTTAATGATGGGGATATGTTCTGTGAAATGTGTCATTAGACAATTTAGTCATTGCATGAACATCATAGAGCATACTTACACAAACCTAGGGGTGTGTGGGTGTGTGTTTGTGTGTGTGTGTGTCTGTGTGTGTGTATTTTTTCATATGACAAACCAAAGGTCCTAGCACTATTACTAAATATCAATAATCATTTCTCCTTCTTGAAGTGCAATGCCAATATCAAGTGTCATGTATCAGGTTTCTATATATGCTCAATTATAATCTTATGGGACCACCACTGTATATGCTGCCCATCATTGACCGAAATGTCATTACGTGGCACGTGGCTGTAGTTCTTGTGTTTTTGTAACAAGGCAGCTCTGATATCCAAGTCGATAATATTACAATAATAACAATATAAAAATCTTATCCACTAAAGACATACTGAAGTAATGAAAAGCAAAGCTTTGACTCAAAAAAAATTTATGATACATATGACTAACAAAGGATCAATATTAAGAATATGTAAATTGATCATATAAATAAATAAAAATCCAACAAAAAATTTGGGCAAAATATATGAATCAAAATATCACAGAAATAGAAATTCAAATCATAACAACAAAATGCCAAGAGATTTTGAATCTATCTGTTATTCCTGGCAAGGAAATAAAAAACACAGTGAGGTACAGCTTTCATGAATTCAAATTAGAATACATTTAAAACAGAAAGATCCATAAAATAGTGGTACATATATTGGCACAAACTCTTTGGAGAGAAATATGACAATATCTAGTAAAGTTGAGGATTTTTAGACCATAAATTCCAACAATATTATAAAACATCTTGTACGTGAATATGCTTGTTGATTTCACTATAATTTCTTTGTTTTTCCTTTTTTTTTTTTTTTTTTTTTTTTTGAGATGGAGTCTCCCTCTGACGCCCAGGCTGGAGTGCAGTGGCGCGATCTCTGCTCACTGCAAGCCCCGCCTCCCGGGTTCACACCATTCTCCTGCCTCAGCCTCCCGAGTAGCTGGGACTACAGGCACCCGCCACCATGCCCGGCTAATTTTTTGTATTTTTAGTAGAGACGGGGTTTCACCGTGTTAGCCAGGATGGTCTCGATCTCCTGACCTCGTGATCTGCCCGCCTCGGCCTCCCAAAGTGCTGGGATTACAGGCGTGAGCCACCGTGCCAGGCCCGATTTCACTATAATTTCAAAAAAAAACCCAAAATAACCTAAATGTTCACTGAAAAAATTTGGGCAAATAAATTTATATATATATATATATATATATATATATATATATAACTATATATATATAGTTATATATTATACACTACAATATATAGTAGTGTATACATAGTATAATTTATACATATGTATAAATTATAGTATATATGTCCATATACGTATAACTATATAGTTCACTGGTGAAAATTATAAAATTCAAAAGGATAAATGAGTACTACTGCAGTGAACATTTTGTGCATGACGTTTGAGGCACACTGGTGGGCATTTCTACTGAATATATACATAGAAGGGGAATGAATGGATCATATCGTGTTGATACTTCCATTTTTTACAAACTAATTTGATAGCTTTAAAAAGTGATTGAGCCTACTTACATTTTCAGTTTCAATGTACAAGAATTTCAGTTGCCGTTCCTTACTTTGTATTCTCCACCTTTTAAAATGTAGCCCAATGTGCAACCTGGTGTACAGTCATAACTATGTATTTTCTGTTAGACTCAATATATTGTTATCATCTAGTGATCCCCAAACTCACCAACTTCCTTTTTCTCTATTTTAAGCCTTTGGAAATGGAAATTCTCACTGTTTACTTCAAATCTGTCCAAGAATTATATGAATAGATATCCTGCTCTCTATTCACTAGCCATCCACGCAATTATTCCTTTAGTAGCTTAATTCAAGGCCAAAAAAGACAATCTATATAAGGCTCACTATCCTCCTGATGCCTGAACATATCCCCTATGCAAGTTTTTAAACTTAACATTATTTTGTAGTTTTCTGTGATCTTTTGCAATAGAAACCCATTATTCTATTTCTCTTTCTCAGTAAAATGCCTCACTCTATTGCGAGCTCCCAACAAAAGAAAAAAAATTATCTCACCTATCTTATTTTGTAATTTATTCTTCATAATGTTTTATATGTATTCAAGCACCAGGTTTTGCATATTTGGGAAATAAGTAAGTCAATCCATAAACTTTATTAACTGTCACAGACCTCATGGAAATGAGTTAGTATTCAATGAGTAAATTCAGATTTTGCTACACTAAAACATCTGGAAATTGCTTTCAGAGGCTTTTAGATTGTTGGAACTTACCAATTTGGCTTTATCTTTTACCTCTTTCTAAAGATATTTAAATCAATAATGAAATGATATTCTTTTTCAAGCCTTGCCTAAGGCCTTCATAAACAAATATGCTTTTTAGTTTTTTGTTGTTTTTTTTTTAAAAAAAAAAAAAAGTAAAAGAAAATCCCTGGACTCTTAAGCTTTGACCTATACTTTGGTTGTGATTGAAATAGTCTGGGTTTTCCTTTACTTAACTTTTTTTTTTTTTGAGACAGAGTCTCATTCTTGTCACTCAGTCTACAGTGCAGTGGCACAATCTTGGCTCACTGCAACTTCAACCTCCTGGGTTCAAGCGATTCTCCTGCCTGAGCCTACCAAGTAGCTGGGATTACAGGTGCCCGCCCGGATAATTTTGTATTTTTAGCAGAGACGGATTTCACCATGTTGGCCAGGCTGGTCTCGAACTCCTGACCTCAGGTGATCCACTTGCCTTGGCCTCCCAAAGTGCTGGAATCACGGGCATGAGCCACCACGCCTGGCCAAATATTTTTTTAAAATATTAAAGATAAAACAATCCTTTGGTCTCCTATTCAGAGTTGTCCACAATAAATTCATATATCAGATCTATTGAGAAATAATATAATCAAATAGCCTTTGTAGATTAAAAAAAACTGCGACCTGTTACTAAGAGTTATGGTTACTCGTATATACGTGCATCTTAACTAACTTGTTAAGATGGCCATCTGCAAGCCAGGAAGAGAGGTCTCACTTTAAATCATTTATGCTGACACCTTGATCATAGACACCCAGTGTCCAGAACTGTAAGAAAATTCATTCTGTTGTTTAAGCCACCAAGTCTACGGTACTTTGTTAAGGCAGCCAGAGCTGACTAATACATTACGTCACTCAAATAATTTTTTAAAAAGCTATGTAAGGAAATAGTAAAGATCTGCTATACTTATGTAATATGAGCAAATGTGTGAGACAGAGTGTTTAATTGACATATGAAATAAGAATGATGAGAATACATGACAGCAAGATCACTATCTCAGAATTGGGAGTTTCGACGTGACTATTATGTGTCATTTTATATGCAATTTGACAGGCTGCATGATTCTTAGTTGATTAATTTATTTAATTGACAAAAATTGTATTTATCATGTACAACATGATGCTTTCAAATATATACATTGCAGAATGGCTACATCAAACTAATAGTAACTCACATAGGTATCACTTTTGTAGCAAGAACACTTAAAATCTATTTTTTAACTGATTTTCAAGAATATAATACGTTATTAATTGTACTCGTCATGCTGTACAGTAGCTCTCTTGAACTTATACCTCCTATCTAAGTGAAATTTTGTGTCCTTTGAGCAACATCTCCTCAACCCACACACTACCTCATCTGCCCGCCTTTGGTAACCAACATTCTACTCTTTGCTTCTGTTAGTTTCACTTTTTTAGATTCTACATAAAAGTAAGATCACACGGTATTTGTCTTTCTGTGCCTGGCTTATTCACTTAATTTTCTCCAGGTTGATTCATGTTACAAACCACGGATGTACTTCTGTTTTAAAGCTGAACAGTATTCCACTGTGTGTGTATGTGTATATATATAACATTTTCTAATTTATTAATCTTTTGACCAATTATTACATTGACTATAGTGAATAATGCCCGAATGAATATGGGAATGCAGATATCTCTTCAATATACAGGTTTTATTTCCTTTGCATATGTACCAAGTAGTAGAGTTGGCTGAATCATATGGTAGTTCTATTTCAAATTTTTGAGTAGTTGCCATACTGTTTTCCATAATGGCTGTACTAATTTACATACATGCCAACAGCGTGCCAATATTCCCTTTTCTCCAATCCTTGTCAACACTTATCTTTTGTCTTTTTGATAACAGCCATTGTAACAAGTTTAAGGTATCTCGTTGTGGTTTTCATTTTCATTTCTCTGATGATTGGTGATATTGAGAATTTTTAAATCTACCTGTTGGTCATTTGTATGCCTTCTTTTGAGAAATGTCTGTTCAGGTCCTTTGCCCATTTTTTAACTGTTTTATTTGTTTTCTTGCCGTTGAGTTGTTTGAGTTTCTCACATAATTTATATTAAGTCCTTGTCAGATGTATGGTTTAAAAATATTTTCTCCCGTGTCGTAGCTTGTCTCTTCACTCTGTTGATTGTATCTTTTTCTGTGCAAAAGCGTCTTATTTCATATAATCACATTTGTCTTTTCTGTTTGTTTATGTTGCTTGTGCTTTTTGGATCATACGCAAAAATGATTGCCCAGATCAATATCATGAAGCTTTTTCTTTGTTTTCTATTAGCGGTTTTACAGTTTTAGGTCTTATAAGTGAGACTTAATCCATTCTGAGTTGATTTTTGTATATGGTGTGAGATGAGTCTAATTTTATTATTTTGGATGAGGATGTCCAGTTTTCTCAACACCACTTGTTAAAGAAACTATGTCTTCCTTATTGTGTGTCCTTGGCATCTTGTCAAAAACTAATTGATTATAAATAGATGAATTTATTTCTGGGTTCTCCATTCTCTTCCACTAGTCTACTTGTTGGTCTTTATGACTGTACAATGGTGTGTTGGTTATTATAAATTTATGTTTATTTTGAAATCAGGTAGTGTGATGCCTTCAGTTTATTCTTTTTTCTCAAGATTGCTTTGGCTATTTGGGGTCTTTTGTGGTTCTAAACAAATTAGAATTTTAACAGGAATTGCTTTGGGTAGTATGAAAATTTTAGCAATATTCTAATTCATGAACATAGGCGATCTCTATTTAGTTGTGCCTTCAATATCTTTTATCAATGTTTTATAAACTTCAGTGTATAGATATTTTACTTCCACCTAAAATTCATTTTTAGGTTTTTTTCTATTGTAAATGTGATTTTTTTCTAGATTTATTTTTTGATAGTTCACTGATAGAGATGCTACCGATTTTTCTTTGACTTTATATGCTGAAATTTTACTGAATTTGCTTATTAGTTCTTACTATTTTCTGATGGACTCTTTAGGGTGATTATGTCATCAGCTAACACAGACAATAAAACTTTTTTCTAATATAGATGCCTTTTATTTCTTTCTCTTGCCTAACTGCTTTGGTTAAACTTTTGGTACTATACTGAACAGAAATGGTGAAAGTGGGAATGCTTGTCTTCTTCCTGGTCTTGAGGAAAAACTTTCAGTTTTCCACTGTTGAGTATATAATGTTACCTGTGGGTTTTTCATATGTGCCCTTATGTGTTTTTTGTCCTTCATTCTGCTAATGAAGGACATTTATATATTAACATATTAACATTCTGTTAATAACATATTTATAGATTTGTATATAACAACCCACAATTTCACATACTTGAAAACAGTATTCTCATCTTTTAAAATGTGAAATTTATATTAGATCACCTAAAGTAACATCATTTGTATGATTTTATGTTTCTTAAATTGTTCAATCAAAGCAGTTAAGTTTCTCCAGGCCATGAAGTATACAGAATGCTCTTTTCTCTTATTTTTCAAGAAATTTCCTTGCTTGGAGCTCCTTGACAGACCAGTCCTAAAAGATGAATTGATTTATAATTTACATTTTAAACTTAAAAACGTTTTTTTTTTAATTTTGGAAATAATGTAACTTATTTTAGTAAAGTGAAAAATTTTAATTGCTTTTATGAATGGTAAAAGACATTGATTTAGAAAGAGAAATTATTAAAAATGCAGCTCAGATGTTTAAAATCTCAGCATCTTTTTTTCATTTCATAGTAGGAATTAATCTTATTCTTCACATAAAGTATCATGCTGAGATTCAATCAATTTTATTGCTCTATGATTACAGTAATTTCTATAGAAAATACTTTTTAAAATAACCATCCATAATTGTTACTTTTAATTTCATATTTAGATTCAAGGCTTTCACTTCCACCATGACAGCATGAGGAGCTCCATGGACATACTTCCCAGTGAAACTAGTAGAAATTAAAAATAACAAAACAACAAAAACAAACATTTTAAAGTCTCTGGAAATGGTCTTATGTGCATGCAGCAAATGAAGAAACATCCATACAAGAAAATCAGCTAAAACTTGGTAAGAACAGTGAGAATCTGTAGTATGTAAACTGAGACCTACTTTCTTTGTGCTCCCAACTCAGCAATACAGAAACTGTACTCCAATCTGGTGTGGCGAAGAACACAGAGTTTTCTCTCTCTCCAGCTCTCAGTAGGACGGCTTTCTACTAGTATGATCAAGGTGACAGCATTTCTCATACTGTCCCCAGCAATTTATTGGTAAGATTACATTCCAGGCAAATGTAGCACAGAAGTAGATGCTTTCTTCTTCTGTCCCAATTTTGGGATGGAGGCTCTACCTTGGATCCAATGCCATTGAGAATACTATAGACCAAATAGTCCTATCTCTGGCTCATAGGAAGTGGTATCACACTGGAAGAGGCAAGCTTAGAAGACCTGTGGATACTGCCACAAGTACTTTTAAAATAACATAACAAATATTTTTGTCCCAAAATACTTAACAGACCTGTAAACGCTTAACATCTTGGTGGGGTTAGTGTGTTTAGCAGTTTTCTGGTTACAGACAGAGCATGGGATTTGATGATTGAACTGAAGGAGCATTTTTCATGTTTCATTTTACAGATAGCACAGGATTCTTTTTAGTTTTAGAAGTCTTTCAAAATAAGAAGTCAAATGAGGTAAGTAAGATATCACAAATAATCTATTAGATATAATGACAAGCATTGCACCTTGTCAACAAGCAAGTTAAGAAGACATGAGGAAAGTTCTGGAATTTCTTGAGAGAAAAATTAAAAGTTCAATATCTGTACTGAAAATAACCCCCAAATGAGAGTTTCAGGCAAACTTCTTAGCTTGAAATTAACATTTATAATAAGGATCAGAATAACAGTGGTTTGGGTTTTAATGTTTCAATCTAGAAAGATTTGGCTGGGTGTGGTGGCTCACGCCTATAATCCCAGCATTTTGGGAGGTCGAGGCAGGAGAATCACTTAGGTCAGGAGTTCAAGACCAGCCTGGCCAATGTGGTGAAACCCAGTCTCTACTAAAAATACAAAAAAAGCCGGGCATCACCATGCCTGTAGTCCCAGCTACTTGGGGGGCTGAGGCACCAGAATCACTTGGACCCAAGAGGTGGAGGTTGTAGTGAGCCAAGATCATGCCACTACACTCCAGCCTGGGTGACAGAGTGAGACTCTGTCTAAAAAAAAAAAAAAAATAAGAAAAAAAATTTTTTATTCTTCTCATGTACTCCTCAATCATTAGCTACTTAATTCTTGAGCCAACTGAACAACTGTCACGTGCCAGATACTTTACTATGTAACAGGCAGAGAGAAAGGAAGAGTGTGTATTGTTGAGAGAAGTGGAAAGAGAATAAAAGATGTAAGGGAAAAAGAAAACAAGTCCTTTATCATTAAGAAGTTTGGCATGTCCATATGAAACATATTCATATCACTGTAACTTGGCAGGTATACAAATGTTCCAAGAAAGGAACACACAACATGATTGTCTTCTCCAAAGCATGATTAATGATCCCTTCTCTTCAACTATGCCTTATTTTACATTTCTTTGTTGTTTTTTGTATTAGGCCATTCTTGCACTGCTATAAAGAAACACCTGAGACTGCCTAATTTATAAACAAAAAAAGTTTTAATTGGCTCATGGTTCTGAAGGCTATACAGGAAACATGGTGCTGGCATCTGCTTCTGGTGAGGCCTCAGGAAGCATACAATCATGGCAGAAGGCCACAGAAAGCCAGCATGGTGAAAGGAGGAGTAAGAGAGAAAGAGTGGGGAGGTTCCACACACTTTTAAACAACCAGATCTCACAAGAACGAACTCACTATCATAAGGACAGCACCAAGAAATTCAGGAGTAGTCTGCCCACATGACCCATCTCCTTCCAGGCCCCACTCCTTCCAGGCCCCACCTCCACCACTGGGAATTACATTTCAACATGATATTTGGGCAGAAGAACCAACGTGCAAACTATATTATTCCACTGCTGGCCCCCAAATATTACATCCTCTTCACATGGAAAAATATAGCCATCCCCTGCCAATAGTCCCCAAAAGTCTTAACCCATTCCAGCATCAAGTCTAAGGTCCTAAGTTACACCTGAGACACACTTCCGTTTACCTATGAGCCTGCAAAATTAAAACAAGTTATGTACTCAAAATACAATGGTAGTTCAGGCCTTGGGTAAACATTACCATTCCAAAGGGAAGAAATTGGCCAAAAGAAAAGGGCAATAGGCTCCATGCAAGTTTGAAACCTAGCAGGAATATCACTAAATGTTAAAGTTCCAAAACAATCTCTTTTGACTCCATGGCCCACATCTAGAGCACATTGCTGCAAGGGGTGGTGGGCTCCCAAGGTGTTGGACAGCTCAGCCCCTGTGGTTTTGTAGGCTGTAGCCCCCACAGCTGTCCTCACAGGTTGGAATTAAGTGTCTGTGGCTTTTTGAGGTACAGGGTGAAAGCTGCTGGTATATCTACCATTCTAACTTCTGGCAGCAGCCTCCTTCTCAAAACTCCACTAGGCAGTGCCCCAGTGGGGACTCTGTGTGGGAATGCCAACCCATATTTTCTCTAGTCATTGCCCTAGTAGAGATTATCTGTGAGGGCTCTACTCCTGCAGCAAGAGTGTGCTTGGGCACCCAGGCTATCTCACATATCCTCTGAAATCTAAGTGGAAGCCACCAAGCCTCCTTCATTTTTGCATTCTGTGCACCCACAAGCTCAATATCACATGAAAGCCATTAAGCCTTATGGGTGTGCCCTCCAGAGTGTCAGCCTGAGCTGTACCTGGGGCCTTCGAGACACAGCTATAGCTGTAGCAGTCAAGATGTGAGAAGCATCCTCCCAATGTGGCACAGGTCATTGGTGCCATGGACCTAGACCTTCAAGCCATTCTTTCCTCCTAGGCCTCTGGGCCTGTGATGACAGGGACAACCTAGAAGATTCCTGAAATATCTTTGAGGCCTTTTTGCTACCGTCTTGGATATTAGCACTTTTACTCATATTAATCTCTTTAACAAATGGTTGCTCCACAGCCTGTTTAGATTTTTTCTCTACCATACTGCCAGGCTGCAAATTTTCCAAACTGATATTGTGTCCCTTTTAAATAGATGTTTCAAATTTAGGTCATGTATTTGCTCCTGTATTTGGTCATAGGCTGTTAGAAGCAGCCAAGCCATATCTTGAACACATTTCTTAGAAATTTCTTCCACCAGATACTGTAGGACATCATTCTTAAATTCAAACTTCCATAGATCCCTAGAGCATAAACACAATGTGCCAAGCTCTTTGCTAAGGTATAACGTGGGTGATCTTTACTCTAGTCTCCAATAACTTTCTTTTTTCCATCTGAGACCTCATCAGCCTGGCCTTCACTGTCCATATTTCTATGAACATTTTGCTTACAACCGTTTAACAAGTCTCTAAGAAGTTCCAAACTTTCCCTTATCTTCCTGTCTTCTTCTAAGCCCTCCAAACTCTTCAAACCTCTTCCCATTACCCACTTCCACATTTTCAGGTATCTTTATAGCAATGTCCCATCCCTGAGTACCAATATTCTGTGTTAGGCCATTTTATTACTATAAAGAAATACCTGAGGCTGGGTAAATTATAAAGAAAAAAAGGTTTAATTGGCTCATAGTTCTGCAGGCTTTATAAGTAGCATGGTTCTGGTATCTGCTTCTGGTGAGGCCTCAGGAAGCTTACAATCATGGCAGAAGGCCGCAGGGAGCCAGCATTTTACATAGGAAAAGCAGGAGCAAGAGAGAGAGTGGGGAGGTGCCACACACTTTTAAACAACTAGATCTCATGAGGACGGCACCAGGTCATTCATGAGGGATTCACTCTTATGATCCAAACACCTCCCTCCCTGCCCCACCTACAACGTCGAGGATTACATTCCAACATGAGATTTGGAGGGGCAAACATCTAGATGATGTCATGTTACTAAAAATAGACATAGACCTCTAGACTCAGACCATTCATTTCAACTTCAATGCATTTTTTATTGTGCAACCTAGTACATTTTTCTTCACTCTATACCATATGACATCAGGTTACAAGCAGATTCACTATTTTATTTTAATCATTATTTTGTGTGTAATGGGTCAATCAACAGATACCTCATAATTCCTTCCATATATACAGTAGTAAAAGAGGTGCAGAGAGTTGCTTGTTTCTGCTCTAGAATAGGTTAGTCTTTGGATACTGTAGCAGGATCCATTATGACATTATCAAAGTATATGATTTGAGAAGGAACAGGTACAGAAAAGTAATTATACAGACTTTCAGATCAAAGAAAGAACATAGTTTACATCAAGTTATGGAGAAGAATCTCACAGAAGATGGAAACAGTTATACTTTGGGAAGATAACATAAACAAAACAAAAAACGAAAAAATGTACCAGTATATTTAAGATGATGGACATTAGACCAATCAGACTAAAATTGAAGATATTTATAGGGAAATGATAAAGCACTGTGTGAAAAATGTATTGCTGACATGCTCTTATATGACTTTATCCAGTAGAAAATGGGAGTACTTGAAAATGTACATCAAAGTCAAATGCCACCTTTAGACCACTCCAATGTGCCAGATAATTTCCAAAAGTTATCTTCTTAATGCTCTAGTTAATCCTATTGGAAATAATATTAGTTTTCACATTTCCTAATTGAAAACTGTAACTGGGCAATATTAAAATAAATGGTTCCAATGAGCAGTAACAGAGTTCTGAAATTAAGTTTGTAGTACTTTTTTTTTTTAAACCAAGTTTTTATGTTGAGACTATAAAGACATTGAAGGCAGTAAAACTGTCATTTATTTCCCATTATATTCTATATATTTCATATAGTGTATGGAACTTAATGTTTAATAAAAGTATTTTTAATTAAATAGGTGAGATGAATAATGTATATGATTTAAAATCTAACAGTAGCATACAAGATGATTGTGAATAAAGAGGCAGGAAGAATGACATCCTTATGGTAGTATTTTGTATGTGAAAATGTTAAGAATGCACTAAGGTCATTTCAGCAAAGGTGAAAGGAAATGACATAGATTATAAGATGGGTGACCATAAAGGATCTTTGTGTGTTTTATATCTCCCTGAGTAAAATAACAAAATTGAGCTACTAGTTGTTAGATATATTGAACACATTGCAATTATTTTGTTGTTCTTTATGTTGGCATTATTCTACTTCTTTTATCCATCCCAACTTTAGTCTGAACTTCTCAAATAAAGACTCTCTTTTATTGGCAAGCTCAGAGTACGGAATATTTTTGTAAGCAGTGTGGATACAAATCTGTCAAACACTTTACTGTGGCTACAAAATCAGGTGCTCATAAAATTGAGATACAGCTCTAGTTTAAACCATGTTAGTATTTCCCTGCCTAACACAAAGCCCAGACCTACAAGGAGCACATTTATTTATTTTACTTTACATTTGCAATTCCCAGTCATGGTGTGTTGTTTGCAAAATACCTACAGTTGTCTAAGTGAAGTAATATTTTTGGCTCTTAAGGGGTATTTCTCAGAGGCAGCCAACTGATGTAAAACTTGAGCATCTAATATGAGTTAAGGGAAACCATTTTCCTAATATCTGAGGGAGTCTGCATAGAAATTCATCATTACTGTTATCACTAGGCAGTGTGTTAAGCACCAGAAAAGCTGGATATTATTCACTCTGAAAGCTTTGAGGGCACACTATACATCACCTTCGTGCTTTTTAATGGACTTTAATACAGAAATCAGAGGTGTGGAGAACAAGAATTGTAATGATCCCCATATATTTGGAATTTTTACCATGAATATCACTTGTAAAATAGACAATTTTTTCTGACATCAGGAAAGAAATATAAGTAGATCCACTTCATACTGTACTATTTAGTATGTTGTCAAAAATATTTGAATTTTTTAAAGGTGAAAGATTAGCTATGCTGTCTTATTGTATAGATGAAATTATAATTTGAATATCATAATTTCCCCTCTGGTGTCCACTACTTATGGCAGAAAACATTGTTCTTTAAATTGCCCAAATTATAGTCACACTGCAGACTAATATGTTTTGGAATAGGTTAATTTAGAAAAGGAAAAATCTGAGTGAGCTAAATAAGCTTTTTAGAAAATTTGTCACAACGCTGTTGATGAAAGGTGTCAAGTTACATCATCAAGAAACATACTATGTAAACTAAAGTTACCTACTCACATGGAAATCACCATATTTTACTACTTCTTTTCTTATTCCAAACGGGTACTGGGGAAGACACTTTGTAGTATTTACTTGAACTCGGCCTCATTCCCTTTTCTTTAGGTCAGTGGTTCTCAAACTTGAATGCATTTAAGAATCACTCAAGGAGCTTGTAACAAGCCCAGTGCCCAGGCCACACCTCATGTGAATTAAATCAGAATCTCTAGAGACAGGACATACAAAATCAGTAGTTTTTAAAGTTTCCTAAATAATTCTAAAATGCTGTCAATATTAAGAACCAATGCTCCAGATTCTGAATTTCTTCTTTCTCATAGTCAGAAATTGGGAGTTGTATGAGAATATTAAATGCTTGATATAGAGCTAAAGGTCTAATTTCCATATTCACATAAAGTGTCACAAGCTCTGTACCTTTTACCCAGATGCTCTCCTTCTCACATTCTTCGTTTGCCTCCTCCAAAGGCAAACATCTTGCTAGGAATTTTTTACTTTTATAGTAACTAAGATAACAAAGAAGCATGGTCCACTTTTCTTTAATAGATAAGGATCTATCTGCTCCTTGAATTTCAACTGCACTTTTCAAGAATTGATTCTATCTAAACAAATGAATGAAATGATTAGCAATTAATACCTGCTTGAGGCTTGAAAATCTAATTCAAAATGTATTTAATTGTAAACATGTAGCAACTGAAATAAATGGCAGATATTCACTATCATTAAGATATCTATATGTCAAACACCAGATTGCTGATAACTCTTCTTTATGTGAATGTTAACTTCTGTGTAAAGATTTTGAATGAAAATGTAAGCCACTATAGAAAAAAAATGTGAAGGGAAAAATATACTACATTCTATTTTTATAAAACTTATTTATATAGAAATAGGTTTTTTAGTGGATTTCATGAGAGAAATAACAATGTCTGTCTTGAATCAAGCATTTGCTAAGTGCCTGGCAGTGTGCTTAGGAGATTCATTTTTATTATTACATTTACTTAAGAGATTCATTTTATTTGTACATTTACGTTTATGACAATAATTATTTCCAGGTGGGGAAACCAATGTTTATAGACACTAAATACCCACATACCTTTAAGCAGATCTAGAATATAAACTCAGTTATATGTAATTCTGAGGTACACCCTTGCAATAATTATGCTATCCTAACAATTAAGGTGTCACTTTATATAAAAAATAGTTTATAAGTACAAATTGAGGGTAATGCAAAAGAAGAAAAATTATGAGATTTATAATAGTCTCCATAATTCCGTACCCTTGTCTTTCATTTGTGCGTAAAGCTATTTATCAAACATGTATTAAGCATTTATTCACAAGCCTGGTGTTAAACCCTAGAAAAATGGCAATGAAATTCAGATTCTTTCCTCAAGGAGCTTGCAGCTGTGAGGGAGATAAAAGCTTAAGAAGAGCAATTGTTTATTTGTGGATTGTTTGGTGTAAAAAGAAGAGAATTACAATCTAGATTTCATAGTTGAAAATGCAGTTGTCCCTTGGTATCAGCAGGGGATTGATTTCAGGACCCATGCAGATACCAAAACCTACAGATGTTCACGTTTCTTGCATAAAATGGTGTAGTATTTGCATATAACTTATGCACCTTCTTGCATACAATTTGAATCATCTCAAGATTACTTATAATAGCTAATAAAATGTAAATGCTATGTAAAACATTGATATACTGTTTTTATTTGTATTATTTTTACTGTTGTCTTGTTATTGTATTTTTTCTCAAATATTTTTGACCTAGTTATTTGAATCTACAAATGCTTTTTACATCCAAGTACAGCCAGCCAACTGTACACACCTTGAATAAGCAGTTATCAAATCCACTGGGGCCTGGTAGAAAAGGAGTATATGGGTACAGACTGAGACTCCATAAAAACTTTCCATATATTGTCAAGTTAGCTAGCTGGAGGGTAAATGTTATTTTCAAACATAGTCGACACACACACATACAATTAACACACACACACATATTTATGGTAAAAAATATTTTGAATGAGAAATTGGCCATTAAGCTCAATATCTACTAAAAAATCTGGTTTCTTTTTTTGTTTAGTTATTTTTAATTGATGTGTAATTGACTTGCAGTAAAAGGTTCTATTTTTAGTGTGTAGTTTTTTAAGCATTGACAAATGTGAAAAATTATTTATACCACCAACGCAGTATTTTTTAAATGTTCATTTTAACTATTAGTCCCCTTCCTTAAGTGTTTCTATTGTTTAGCCACAGTCACAGCTAAAACACACACACACACACACACACACACACACAAAAGGTGTGAGTTCAATATGAGGCAAAATTCAACAGTTGATAAAACTGAAGAAAACTGATCACAAAAGCATCGAACTTTATCATTTATGCACTACTTCTATAGTTTTTGTCAGAAATCAAGTCACCATAAGCAAACAAAGATTCTCCTAAACTACAAAACTCTAATACAGATAATATTAGTGTGAACCAAGTATATGACATGTGCAAGTGGCATGATAAATTAAGAACAAGTGCTAAACAAAAGGATTTGCAAAAGTAGATTTCTGAGCAACTGGAAATATTTTACTTGTTTATTGAAAAAGGCCATGGGCTTGCTTTTTTTTTGTTTTTGTTTTTGAGACGGAGTCTCGCTCTGTCGCCCAGGCTAGAGTGCAGTGGCGTAATCTCAGCTGACCGCAAGCTCCACCTCCCGGGTTCATGCCATTCTCCTGCCTCAGCCTCCCCAGCAGCTGAGACTACAGGCAACTGCCACCACGCCCGGCTAATTTTTTTGTATTTTTAGTAGAGACAGTGTTTCACCATGTTAGCCAGGATGGTCTCAATCTCCTAACCTCGTGATCCAACTGCCTCAGCCTCCCAAAGTTCTGGGATTACAGGTGTGAGCCACCGCGCCCAGCCGGGCTTACATTTTTAACATGTGATACTGGTTAAAGATCATTTCTGCCCTGATCTGTTCGCTATACTTTATATGTGTCAAAACATCCTATGTACCCCATGAAAATGTAAAATTATTACTTGTTAATTTAAAAAGATAATTTCTGTTCCCTGAAGGCTCAACTAAAAGCACGAGAGGTTATTGACCATTGCAATGTAGTCACAGATGTTCATTTCTGGTCAATCCAAGCTTTACTAACATCCTTTTCCAATTGTTGGGAAAAGCTTTGTTCTTTAGAAAAGAATCAATCACTTGTTATTTGAAAGCTTTTTTTTATATGCATTTTCTTTAACTTTATACAATTTTTGCCCCAAATCTTGGTATTGTATATAAATATGCTAATGTTTATGTTAAGGTAACTTCATTGCAGACAAAGTTACATACAAGCTCTTGGAAACTGCACTAATAGTAATGTGATGTGTAGTGTTTAAGGTACACATCACTGGCCTAGGCTTTATGGACCAGGTGTAAAACTGCAGCCATGAAGGGAAATAAGGACTTCAGATATAAAATCCATATTAAAATATGTCAAACCTTCCTGCTTTTTATTAATGTATGCTCTCTCAGTAGCAAAGCATCCACAAAGCTGTTAATTTGATTTCTCACTACTGCTAAGTTTTTTTAATAGAATTGAAGATCATTTTCTGATAGGAGTATCATTCTTTCAGACAAACAATATACTACAGCTTACCCAGCGTCATTATTACTACTTTTAATTTAGCAGGCAGAAGACTCTGCTTTAATTTACCTGCTCATGGGACTCTGCAAGAAGTAAAGAGTTAGACAGGCAGAGGTGGGGGAGAGTGGGGAGGCATGCACAGTTAGTAGACTCTTATCGGGGAACCTGCCCCCAATAGTTAGGTAGGTTCTTTTCTATTTTCCCTAAGTGTTGGCCGGGTTGAGAAATAAAGGAACAGAGTACAAAAGAGAGAAATTTTAAAGCTGGGCATCTGGGGAAGACATCACATGTCAGTAGCTTCCGTGATGCCCCACAAGCCACAAAACCAGCAAGTTTTTATTAGTGATTTTCAAAGGGGAGGGAGTGTATGAATAAGGTGTGGGTCACAGAGATCACGTGCTTCAGAAGGTAAAAGAATATCACAAGGCAAATGGAGGCAGGGCAAGATCACAGGACCACAGGACCGGGGCAAAATTAAAATTGCTAATGAAGTTTCGGGCACCATTGTCATTGATAACATCTTATCAGGAGACAGGGTTTGAGAGCAACCAGTCTAACCAAAATTTGTTAGGTGGGAATTTCCTCATCCTAATAAGCCTGGGAGTGCTATGGGAGACTGGGGCTTATTTCATCCCTACAGCTCAACCATAGAAGACGGCCACACTCAAGGGGGCCATTTTAGAGGCCTACCCTCAGGGGTGCATTCTCTTTCTCAGGGATGTTCCTTGCTGAGAAAAATAATTCAGTGATTTTTCTTTTCCCATTTGCTTTTGAAAGAAGAGAAATATGGCTCTGTTCCACCCGGCTCACCGGCGGTCAGAGTTTAAGGTTATCTCTCTTGTTCCCTGAACATTGCTGTTATCCTGTTCGTTTTTCAAGGTGCCCAGATTTCATATTGTTCAAACACATATGCGCTGCAATTTTTGCAGTTAACGCAATCATCACAGGGTCCTGAAGCGACATACATCCTCCTCAGTTTATGAGATGATAGGATTAAGAGATCAAAGATGGGCATAGGAAATCACAAGGGTATTGACTGGGGAAGTGATAAGTGTCCATGAAATCTTCACAATTTATGTTTAGAGACTGCAGTAAAGACAGGCATAAGAAATTATAAAAGTATTAATTTGGGGAACTAATAAATGTCCATGAAATCTTCACAATCCACGTTCTTCTGCCATGGCTTCAACCGGTCCCTCCGTTCAGGGTCCCTGACTTCCTGCAACAGACTCTGTATCGAGACATTTTGTGTTGAAGCGTAAGGGACAAAACACTTGAGAAAAATATAAATTCTTTTGTTGAGTGGAGTATTCTATATATTTCTGTTAGTTCCTATTGGTCTGTAGTATTGTTCAGGTTCTCTTTTCTCTCATTGATGTTCTGTCTGGTTGTTCTATCCATTATTGCAAATGAAGTATTAAAGTCTCCTACTAGTAGAACTATCTATTTTGCTCAATTTTATTAATGCTGTTTAATGTATTTTGGAGCTCTGATATTTGGTGCCTATATGTTTATGATTATATTTTCTTGATGAATTAGCACTTCAATGAATTAACACTTAATACTGTTCTCTTTGTCTCTTGTAGAAGTTTTTGACTTAAAGTCTATTTTGTGTTATATTACAACATCTACTCCTGCTCTATCTTGGTTACTATTTGTATGAAATACCTCTTTCCTTCTTTCACTTTACAGTTGTGTTCTCACATCTAAGTAAATCTGTTGTAAACAAAATAGAGTTGGATCCTTTATTTTGCCAACCTATGATATTTAATTTGGACACTAAACCCATTTTCATTTAAAGTAACTACTAATATGGAAGTATATGCTTTTGCCATTATGTTCTTTGTTTTCTGTATGTCTTACAGCCATTTCGTCCCTCATTTCCTCCCTCGCCTTCCTTTGTATTGATTCACTGTGGTGAAATATTTTTATTTGCTTCTTATTTCCCTTTGTGTATAATTTATGTATTCTTCTTTGTAGTTACCATGGGGATTGCATGTAACATCCTAAAATTCTGATCATCAATTTTAAATTGATATCAACTCAACTTCAGTTACAGCCAAATCTCTATTTCCTCCCAGCTCTATCTCTTTACCAACACTTTATTTATTGATGTCACAAATTGCCTATTTATAAATTGTGTATCAATCAACATAGATATGTAATCATTTTTGGTGAATTTCCTTTTTGAATCTTGTAAAAAAGCATAAGGTTGAGTTATAAACCAAAATTGCAGTAGGACTTTAATACCTGCCCATGTATTTAACTTTACTGAAGAACTTTATACTTTCACATATCTTGGAGTTACTGTTTTGCCCCTTTCCCTCTTATTTAAACTTGAAAAAAATCACTTTTATATTTCTTGTAGGGAAAGGCTAGTTAGTAATAAACTCCCTCAGCTTTTGTTTATCTTGGAATTTCTTAAATTCCCCCTAATTTTTGAAGGACAGCTTTGTCAGCAATAGAATTCTCAGCTGAATTTTTTTATTCTTTCAATACTTTAAATGCATCATCACATTGCCTCAGGCCTGTGAGTTTCTGCTGAGAAATCTGCTGATAGGCTTATTGAATATCCCTTGTAAGTAACCCATCGTTTTCTCTTGTTTCTTTCAAGATTCTCGTCTTTCAACAGTTTGTGTGATGCAGTGTGATTTTCCTTAGATCTATTTTGAAGTTTATTTTCTTGAATTTGTATATCCATGTCTTATGTCAAATTTGGGAAGTTTTCAGCCATTATTTCTTCAAATGTTCTTTCGTTCCCTTTCTCTCTTCTTTTCCTCAGACTCCAATAATGTAAAAACTGCAAATATATTTGCACTCACCTAATATAAATTTGGTACACTTGATGAT
The DNA here is from genome assembly GCF_000001405.40 of Homo sapiens. Taxonomy (NCBI): domain Eukaryota; kingdom Metazoa; phylum Chordata; class Mammalia; order Primates; family Hominidae; genus Homo; species Homo sapiens. The sequence goes on along the minus strand of NC_000002.12, from coordinate 52,048,611 downwards.
ATTCTATAAGCCCCTTGGGCTTTATTATTTTCTTAATAAGCTTTCTTTTGTTCTTCAGATTTATAGTTTTAAAATGACCTGTCTTCAAATTTGTTATTTCTTTTGCTTATTTCCGTCATTGAATCTTGCTAGTGATTTCTTTCTACTATTTTTTTCAGCTCTTGAATTTCTATTAGGTTCTTCTTTTTATGATTTCCACGTATTTTTTGATATTACATCTTTGTTGCTGTTTTCCTTTAGTTCTCCGAACATATTTAAGACAGTTATTTAAAATTCTTTTTCTAATGAGTATTATAGTGGTGTTTCTTCTAGGGCTTTTAATGGAGATTTATTTTGTTCCTTTGAATAGGCTGTACTTCCCTCTTTATGCTGTGGTCTTTTGTTGAAAACTGAGCATTTAAAAAAAATAACTACTTCTCCTAGTCTTTGTAGAGTGGCATAGAAGACCTTCAGTAATTAACAGGTCCCTGAGTCTGCAGATCAGCTTGGGGTAAATGCTCAAAATTTTAATGGGTCTTTTGGGCCTGGGTCCTGTCTGGGCCTGTGCATGTGCTTTACTTATGTATCTATGTATTCATTTTTATTTCCCTCACTGCTTTTAAATGTCTTAATTCCCCCAAAAAAATCTCATCCCAGTCTCTTCCAAGGGCCTTAGATACTCTATTGTATCCTTCTACCTGTAATGTTTTACTCCCAGAGAGCTGCAGGTCTGAAGTTTTCCTGTACCTCAGTGACCATCACGGCTTTTTGCAGTTTCCAGCCTGAGATCCAAACAATGCCCTCATTCACTGTCTGAGCCTCCAGGTTAGGTGAGAGGGAAACCAGTCAATAGGGCAACTCACAGACAGGCCAGAACATTTCAATCAAGTTTCACTCTGTTTCTTCCATCCTGACAGAGAATGGATATTAGGCTGTTTCCATTGTATTATATCTTGCATGCTGGGGAATGGTGGAACAAGGATAGGTAGAAATATCATGAAATTTCCTACCATTTTGAATATGGCTTTTTCTTGATTGGGTATTTCCTTGATTGCTGTAGGTATTTGGTTTCCAGAGGTCCTATAAAGTTATTTTAGTCATCTGTAGTTTTTAATTTTATGTGTACATGGGGAAATGAGGACTTGGAGCTTTCTTGACCATCATCTTCCTGACATGAATAATTCATGTCAGGAATAAAATTCTAGGATTCCTTTTTGCTTCATTCTCATTGTAGTGTAATAATTTTCCCTTAAAAATGAAATTGCCTTTACGATCAATACAAAAAAATGCTCTTTTTAAAATGCTCTTTTCATTTAAAAATGAAATTGCCTTTAGGATCAATACAAAAAATGCTCTTTATTAAATTAAGTATCTTTTATTTCAACACAAGACTGATTTTGTATTTTAAATCATATTACTTTAAATTTTGCAACAAATATTATAATTACTTCCTAAGATAAAAAGATGCAGTGTTGGGAAATACATCTCACTTTGTGCATAGATTTGTAATTAAACATTAGGACTTTTATGCCCATGTTATCTATTACTCAAATTCAGTGGCTTAGCATTTCAGCATTTACTTAAACCACTAGTCCCCATGTTGACAATCTAGGCTATAATCAGCTGGTCAGGTTTTGTGATCTAATTTTGCTCACTCCCATATTTTAGCCTCAGTCTTATGTTGCAGGCTCACTTAAAACAGCTAAATGTTTGCTGATTTACATTGGTTTTGGCTAGGGCTACTTTGATAATTTGGCTATGCTACACATGTCTTTCATCTTTCAGTAGATTAGTCTGGGCATGATTTCATGGTGATGACAGAGACACAAGAGAGCAAAACCCAGTACACAATCTAACACACCACTGGAGAATGGAATAGTCACATTGTACAGTCAAGTCACATTGTATAGTCCAGTGTAAAGCAATGGGCCATGTCAACTTGATCCCAGTTCTAATGGACTGTGAGGTTACATTGTAAAGTTGATGGACATGGGAGAATTAAAAAATTTGTACCAAAATTGCAATTAACAACATTCTGAGAAGAAGAGCTCTTCTGTAATCTTCAGCTTTCTCAAAAATGAGGTACTAAACTTTTCAGCTATTGAGGAATACCTACTATATCACCTGAATATATTTTGGTAATCTAATCAGCTTTAATATGCATGATTAGAACTAATAAATTCTATTTCTCATACCCTGGTCTTTCAGAATATAAAGGCAATAATTAGTTTGCACTACTACTAATATAAAAATAATAATAATCGAGAGGCAAAGGATTCAGCACAATATTTTTCCACAGTGCATGTTTTTCACACATAAGTCTCAGCTCAAGTTTTAGCAGGAGAGAATTAATTCTTGCTTCCTATTGACTCATGTAGCCAGTAGACATGAATTCATGGCTTTTCTTCATTATATTTTTTCATTCAGTGATTAATCTCAATCTTCCACTTTGTATGGTTTGTATGGTTTGTGCATTGAGCACCACAAAAATGCAGATGCAGTATTCAACCTTAAAGGCCTTCTCATTGAGACAAGTACATTAGTAAAATCTGAAAAAAAATCATGATATCTCCTGAAGATGTCACATATTAAAGAAAAATGGATTTGAGGCCAGTTATCAGGAAAGCATGGAGAGTGAAAAGAAAATGTATTACAAATGGCTGATTGAGAAGTAACTGTATATTCCATATCTTTTCTCTGCCAAAATTGTATTCTGTATTACAAGAAAAAAACATTATATAACATAATTAAATTTATGCTAAAATGAATCTTGTACTTTATATTTATTACTAGACCTTATATTCTCCTTTGAATAAGATAACAAGCAGGACTGAAACCACAAAACTAATGAAAATGTAAAAAGTGATTGAATCCATATTCATTTAGTTTTATTTTATTAAGTTTGCTCAGTCCAGCACCCAGAGCAATTCAGCAAAATACTTAGGTATGTTGGGAGGCTGAGGCAGGAGACTAACTTGAATCTCAGTGGCAGAGGTTGCAGTAAGCTTGAGATCGTGCCTCTGCACTCCAGCCTGGGTGACAGAGTGAGACTCTGTCTCAATTAAAAAAAAACAAAAACAGGAGGAGGAGCCAAGATGGCCAAATAGGAACAGCTCCAGTCTACAGTTCCCAGCATGAGCGACGCAGAAGATGGGTGATTTCTGCATTTCCATCTGAGGTACCGGGTTCATCTCACTAGGGAGTGCCAGAGAGTGGGTGCAGGTCAGTGGGTGTGCGCACCGTGCGCGAGCCGAAGCAGGGCGAGGCATTGCCTCACTCGGGAAGTGCAAGGGGTCAGGGAGTTCCCTTTCCTAGTCAAAGAAAGGGGTGACAGATGGCACCTGGAAAATCGGGTCACTCCTACCCGAATACTGCGCTTTTCCAACGGGCTTAAAAAACGGCGAACCAGGAGATTATATCCTGCACCTGGCTCGGAGGGTCCTACGCCCATGGAGTCTCGCTGATTGCCAGCACGGCAGTCTGAGATCAAACTGCAAGGCGGCAGTGAGGCTTGGGGAGGGGCGCCCGCCATTGCCCAGGCTTGCTTAGGTAAACAAAGCAGCCTGGAAGCTCCAACTGCGTGGAGCCCACCACAGCTCAAGGAGGCCTGCCTGCCTCTGTAGGTTCCATCTCTGGGGGCAGGGCACAGACAAACAAAAAGACAGCAGTAATCTCTGCAGACTTAAATGTCCCTGTCTGACAACTTTGAAGAGAGCAGTGGTTCTCCCAGCACGCAGCTGGAGATCTGAGAAAGGGCAGACTGCCTCCTCAAGTGGGTCCCTGACCCCTGACCCTTGAGCAGCCTAACTGGGAGGCACGCCCAAGTAGGGGCAGACTGACACCTCACACGGCAGGGTACTCCTCTGAGACAAAACTTCCAGAGGAACCATCAGACAGCAGCATTCGCGGTTCACGAAAAACCACTGTTCTGCAGACACCGTTGCTGATACCCAGGCAAACAGGGTCTGGAGTGGACCTCTAGCAAACTCCAACTGACCTGCAGCTGAGGGTCCTGTCTGTTAGAAGGAAAACTAACAAACAGAAAGGACATCCACACCAAAAACCCATCTGTACATCACCATCATCAAAGACCAAAAGTAGATAAAACCACAAAGCAGAAAAACTGGAAACTCTAAAAAGCAGAGCACCTCTTCTCCTCCAAAGGAACGCAGTTCCTCACCAGCAATGGAACAAAGCTGGACGGAGAATGACTTTGACGAGTTGAGAGAGGAAGGCTTCAGACAATCAAACTACGAGCTACAGCAGGAAATTCAAACCAAAGGCAAAGAAGTTAAAAACTTTGAAAAAAATTTAGACGAATGTATAACTAGAATAATCAATACAGAGAAGTGCTTAAAGGAGCTGATGGAGCTGAAAGCCAAGGCTCGAGAACTACGTGAAGAATGCAGAAGCCTCAGGAGATGATGCGATCAACTGGAAGAAAGGGTATCAGCGATGGAAGACGAAATGAATGAAATGAAGTGAGAAGGGAAGTATAGAGAAAAAAGAATAAAAAGAAATGAAGAAAGCCTCCAAGAAATATGGGACTATGTGAAAAGACCAAATCTACATCTGATTGGTGTACCTGAAAGTGACAGGGAGAATGGAACCAAGTTGGAAAACACTCTGCCGGATATTATCCAGGAGAACTTCCCCAATCTAGCAACGCAGGCCAACATTCAGATTCAGGAAATACAGAGAACACCACAAAGATACTCCTCGAGAAGAGCAACTCCAAGATACATAATTGTCAGATTCACCAAAGTTGAAATGAAGGAAAAAATGTTAAGGGCAGCCAGAGAGAAAGTTCGGGTTACCCACAAAGGGAAGCCCATCAGACTAACAGTGGATCTCTCAGCAGAAACTCTACAAGCCAGAAGAGAGTGGAGGCCAATAGTCAACATTCTTAAAGAAAAGAATTTTCAACCCAGAATTTCATATGCAGCCAAACCAAGCTTCATAAGTGAAGGAGAAATAAAATACTTTACAGATAAGCAAATGCTGAGAGATTTTGTCACCACCAGGCCTGCCCTAAAAGAGCTCCTGAAGGAAGCACTAAACATGGAAAGGCACAACCGGTATCAGCCACTGCAAAATCATGCCAAAATGTAAAGACCATCGAGACTAGGAAGAAACTGCATCAACTAACAAGCAAAATAACCAGCTAACATCATAATGACAGGTTCAAATTCACACACAACAATATTAACTTTAAAGGTAAATGGACTAAATGCTCCATTAAAAGACACATACTGGCAAACTGGATAAAGAGTCAAGACCCATCAGCGTGTTGTATTCAGGAAACCCATCTCACATGCAGAGACACACATAGGCTCAAAATAAAAGGACGGAGGAAGATCTACCAAGCAAATGGAAAACAAAAAACGGCAGGGGTTGCAATCCTAGTCTCGGATAAAACAGACTTTAAACCAACAAAGATCAAAAGAGACAAAGAAGGCCATTACATAATGGTAAAGGGATCAATTCAACAAGAAGAGCTAACTATCCTAAATATATATGCACCTAATACAGGAGCACCCAGATTCATAAAGCAAGTCCTGAGTGACCTACAAAGAGACTTAGACTCCCACACATTAATAATGGGAGACTTAAACACCCCACTGTCAACATTAGACAGATCAACGAGACAGAAAGTCAACAAGGATATCCAGGAATTGAACTCAGCTCTGCACCAAGCAGACCTACCAGACATCTACAGAACTCTCCACCCCAAATCAACAGAATATACATTTCTTTCAGCACCACACCACACCTATTTCAAAATTGACCACACAGTTGGAAGTAAAGCTCTCCTCAGCAAATGTAAAAGAACAGAAATGATAACAAACTATCTCTCAGACCACAGTGCAATCAAACTAGAACTCAGGATTAAGAAACTCACTCAAAACCGCTCAACTACATGGAAACTGAACAACCTGCTCCTGAATGAATACTGGGTACATAACGAAATGAAGGCAGAAATAAAGATGTTCTTTGAAACCAACGAGAACAAAGACACAACATACCAGAATCTCTGGGACACATTCAAAGCTGTGTGTAGAGGGAAATTTATAGCACTAAATGCCCACAAGAGAAAGCAGGAAAGATCCAAAATTGACACCCTAACATCACAATTAAAAGAACTTGAAAAGCAAGAGCAAACATATTCAAAAGCTAGCAGAAGGCAAGAAATAACTAACATCAGAGCAGAACTGAAGGAAATAGAGACACAAAAAACCCTTCAAAAAATTAATGAATCCAGGAGCTGGTTTTCTGAAAGGATCAACAAAACTGATAGACCGCTAACAAGACTAATAAAGAAAAAAAGAGAGAAGAATCAAATAGATGCAATAAAAAATGATAAAGTGGATATCACCACTGATCCCACAGAAATACAAACTACCATCAGAGAATACTACAAACACCTCTACGCAAATAAACTAGAAAATCTAGAAGAAATGGATAAATTCCTCGACACATACACTCTCCCAAGACTAAACCAGGAAGAAGTTGAATCTCTGAATAGACCAATAACAGGATCTGAAATTGTGGCAATAATCAATAGCTTACCAAGCAAAAAGGGTCCAGGACCAGACAGATTCACAGCCGAATTCTACCAGAGGTACAGGGAGGAACTGGTACCATTCCTTCCAAAACTATTCCAATCAATAGAAAAAGAGGGAAACCTCCCTAACTCATTTTATGAGGCCAGCATCATCCTGACACCAAAGCCAGGCAGGGACACAACCAAAAAAGAGAATTTTAGACCAATATCCTTGATGAACATTGATGCAAAAATCCTCAATAAAATACTGGCAAACCGAATCCAGCAGCACATCAAAAAGCTTATCCACCATGATCAAGTGGGCTTCATCCCTGGGATGCAAGGCTGGTTCAATATATGCAAATCAATAAATGTAATCCAGCATATAAACAGAACCAGAGACAAAAACCACATGATTATCTCAATAGATGCAGAAAAGGCCTTTGACAAAATTCAACAATGCTTCATGCTAAAAACTCTCAATAAATTAGGTATTGATGGGACATATTTCAAAATAATAAGAGCTATCTAGGACAAACCCACAGCCAATATCATACTGAATGGGCAAAAACTGGAAGCATTCCCTTTGAAAACTGGCACAAGACAGGGATGCCCTCTCTCACCACTCCTATTCAACATAATGTTGGAAGTCCTGGCCAGGGCAATTAGGCAGGAGAAGGAAATAAAGGGTATTCAATTAGGAAAAGAGGAAGTCAAATTGTCCCTGTTTGCAGACGACATGATTGTATATCTAGAAAACCCCATTGTCTCAGCCCAAAATCTCCTTAAGCTGATAAGCAACTTCAGCAAATTCTCAGGATACAAAATCAATGTACAAAAGTCACAAGCATTCTTATACACCAACAACAGACAAACAGAGAGCCAAATCATGAGTGAACTCCCATTCACAGTTGCTTCAAGAGAATAAAATACCTAGGAATCCACTTTACAAGGGACATGAAGGACCCCTTCAAGGAGAACTACAAACCACTGCTCAATGAAATAAAAGAGGATACAAACAAATGGAAGACCATTCCATGCTCATGGGTAGGAAGAATCAATATCATGAAAATGGCCACACTGCCCAGGGTAATTTACAGATTCAATGCCATCCCCATCAAGCTACCAATGACTTTCTTCACAGAATTGGAAAAAACTACTTTAAAGTTCATATGGAACCAAAAAAGAGCTCGCATCACCAAGTCAATCCTAAGCCAAAAGAACAAAGCTGGAGGCATCACGCTACCTGACTTCAAACTATACTACAAGGCTACAGTAACCAAAACAGCATGGTACTGGTACCAAAACAGAGATATAGATCAATGGAACAGAACAGAGCCCTCAGAAATAACGCCGCATATCTACAACTATCTGATCTTTGACAAACCTGAAAAAAACAAGCAATGGGGAAAGGATTCCCTATTTAATAAATGGTGCTGGGAAAACTGGCTAGCCATATGTAGAAAGCTGAAACTGGATCCCTTCCTTACACCTTATACAAAAATCAATTCAAGATGGATTAAAGACTTAAACGTTAGACCTAAAACCATAAAAACCCTAGAAGAAAACCTAGGCATTACCATTCAGGACATAGGCACGGGCAAGGACTTCATGTCTAAAACACCAAAAGCAATGGCAACAAAAGCCAAAATTGACAAATGGGATCTCATTAAACTAAACAGCTTCTGCACAGCTAAAGAAACTACCATCAGAATGAACAGGCAACCCACAAAATGGGAGAAAATTTTCACAACCTACTCATCTGACAAAGGGCTAATATCCAGAATCTACAATGAACTCAAACAAATTTACAAGAAAAAAACAAACAACCCCATCAAAAAGTGGACGAAGGACATGAACAGACACTTCTCAAAAGAAGACATTTATGCAGCCAAAAAACACATGAAAAAATGCTCACCATCACTGGCCATCAGAGAAATGCAAATCAAAACCACAATGAGATATCATCTCACACCAGTTAGAATGGCAATCATTAAAAAGTCAGGAAACAACATGTGCTGGAGAGGATGTGGAGAAATAGGAACACTTTTACACTGTTGGTGGGACTGTAAACTAGTTGAACCATTGTGGATGTCAGTGTGGCCATTCCTCAGGGATCTAGAACTAGAAATACCATTTGACCCAGCCATCCCATTACTGGGTATATACCCAAAGGACTATAAATCATGCTGCTATAAAGACACATGCACACGTATGTTTATTGCAGCACTATTCACAATAGCAAAGACTTGGAACCAACCCAAATGTCCAACAATGATAGACTGGATTAAGAAAATGTGGCACATATACACCACGGAATACTTGGAATACTATGCAGCCGTAAAAAATGATGAGTTCATGTCCTTTGTAGGGACATGGATGAAATTGGAAATCATCATTCTCAGTAAACTATCACAAGAACAAAAAACCAAACACTGCATATTCTCACTCATAGGTGGGAATTGAACAATGAGAACACATGGACACAGGAAGGGGAACATCACACTCTGGGGACTGTTGTGGGGTGGGGGGATGGGGGAGGGATAGCATTGGGAGATATACCTAATGCTAGATGATGAGTTAGTAGGTGCCACGCACCAGCATGTCACATGTATACATATGTAACTAACCTGCACATTGTGCACATGTACTGTAAAACTTAAAGTATAAAAAAAGAAAAAAAAAACAGAAAAAAACCTAGGTATGAGTAGAATGCCATTCAAAAAACCTTGAATCTGTTGTGTAGGAGATAAGAAAAATTAAGAGTAGAGAAAAAGATTAAGTGACCTAAATTATTAGGGCTATTTACTAAAAGAGCAAGAAATCAAAGATAAGTCATTTAAATTTTGACTATTGCTTATTAAGGAAAGCTAGGAAGTGCCTTCGTGTTTTTGTTTTGATTTGATTTTTAGTTTTGTTGACCATAACTGTCATACATTTAAAATTTATTTTCTGAGTGGTAATGACTATGAAGTTGTGGGGGTAATTGAAGTTATAATGCTGTTTGAAAGGAAACTAGAGTAAAGGTACCTGATGTTTCAGATTTTTCTGTTGATCTTTTCCCATGCAAGTTGTCTCTCAGCTTTGAGACCTTTAGTTGATTGACATCACTCTGGCTAACACACACCTGTTTGAGAAATTGTCAAGCATAAACCTGATGCTGACACAGCTGAATGAGTGAAAAACAGACTACTCCTGTGCTTTTTGCTGCTACTGTTTCTAGTTCTTATTGAAAATAAATTTTAAATTCCTCCTAGTGGTTTATTCTTTACTTCTGATAGTTGCAATTCTGAAATTTGTTAGCTAGAGATCAATGAGAAGTATTACATTCAACTTCATCCATTTAAAGTCTGAAAATTACCTAACATTTTTCTATTTGAAATGAATAAATTATCTGTTAAAAATATGTTTATCATATTTTTATGATAAGATTAGAGGATAAGACTGGCATCATATTAAGCACAACCTTTAAGCCTAGATGAAAATATTATTACCAAAACTATGGGAAAATAAATTATAATCTTAGGTTATTATATCAGCAAATTGTGAATGAAGTAAATCAGAAGACATTTTATTGGACGATTGCATTTATTAGATGTGTGAACCCCAAACATCTGAAACAGGTCTCAGTTAATTTAGAAAGTTTATTTTGCCAAGGTTGAGGACGTGAACCCCCGACACGGCCTCTGGAAGTCTTCACAACATGTGCCCAAGGTGGTCGGAACACAGCTTGGTCGTATACATTTTAGGGAGACACGAGACACCAATCAATGTATGTAACAACTACATTGGTTCAGTCCAGAAAGGCCAGGACAACTCGAAGCAGGGAGGGGGCATCCAGGTCACAGGTAGGTGAGAAAAAATGGTTGCATTCTTTTGAGTTTCTGATTAACCTTTCCAAAAGAGGCAATCAGATATGCATCTATCTCAATGAGCAGAGGGAGAAGTTTGAATGGAATGGGAGGCAGGTTTGCTCTGAGTAGTTCCCAGCTTGACTTTTTTCTTTAGCTTAGTAATTTTTGGGCCCCGAGATTTTCCTTTCACAGATATTATTGAAGAACATCAGTCATAAATTCAGTCAACCAAGAAATGAACAAAATAAAAAATTCAGAAATGAGGAAGCCATTGAAAATGAGTAATTTTGAGAGGAAACCACTTAGACTTAAGGCTGAGTTTAGAAATCTGGAGAACGGTGGTTACCTTTAAAATAAAAGTAATTTAAGCACATAATCAGGATGTAAGAGCAGAGTGTTTGGGAGTATTTCTAAATACACAAATTTCTTTGTAATTTTTTTCATCATCTCTTTGTAATTTAAAGGAGTGTATCAAAGCCAACTACAGTGAAACAACAGTTTTTAAAGTACTTCGATTTTCAATAGTTCTCGCAATTCTTTCTAAATTTGGTGAGTTTTTTCTTGGGAAAAGATGATGACTTGTGTCAATGAAAACAGTCAAACTCTGTAACATATTTGAAGAGATTTATTCTGAGCCAAATCTGAATGACCAATGGCCTGTGACATAGCCCCAAGAGATTCTGAGAACCATGTGATCAAGGTGGTGGGGCTACAGCTTGGTTATATACATTTTAGGGAGACATAGACAGCATTTGATACATGTGAGATGTACATTGTTTCAGTCCAGAAAGGTGGAATAACTTGAAGTGGTGGGGGGTTTCCACGTCATAGGTGGATTCAAGAATTTGCTAACTGGCAACTGGTTTAAAGAGTTCACTTACTGTCTAAAGATCTAGAATCAATAGAAGGGCATATCTGGTTTAGCTCATTTATGCCTAGTGTTCCATTATTGGAACGCTAAGCTTGTGGGAGTTATTTGTATCCTGCTGTTCAAGGTCACTGCCAAGTCCTGATTTTTCACAAAAAACATTTGCAATCTTTGGCATAAATGTGTTAAGATAAAGAATTGTGGAGACCAAGGTTCCCATTGTGAAGATAGAATCTGTAGAAGGGAGTGTTTCTTATCAGACTCAAAGAGTCTGTTCTATTAGTTTTAAGCTCTCTATTTTAATGTTAATGCTGGTCAGCTATGCCTGAATTCCAACAGGAGGAAGGTATAAGGAGACATGTCGGACACCTGCTTCCCAGCATAGCCTGAACTAGGTTTTCAGGTTAACTTTGGTTAACAATGGCAGTTGGTTGGAAGGCTTAGAATTTTATTTTTGGTTTCCACTTGCACTTAAATTATTTGAAATATTTCAATGATTCTCATTTACTTTGTTTTTGTTTTTCTTCCTTTAAATTCAAGACAATGTTAACTTAATATATTGTACTCTTATACCACATATATAGAATTATCCTATTCTTATAAAAACATATCCCCAATTAATTTTCTAGTTATAAATAAACTGATAAAGATCATTAACATATTTATGAAACCAGGTATGCCAGGTGTTACAACTGGTGTCCCCTAGTAGTAAGTTTGGGGCTGATTTTCTTTTTCCTTTTGTCAATATTTTTTTTTATTCCTGTGGTGCTTTCCATATTTGATAACAATAATGAAGTAATTATGTTAACATAATTGAAGCACTCTCCTAAACCACAAAATTTCCTTCAGCTAGAGACTACCTCATATTAGCCCAAGTTCATGGTTTCAAGGCACAGTCATCCAAGTGGCCAAGTCTTCTCTAGGCTTCAGAAACCAACCTCAAAATGCTGGAGTCTAATTAGAAAGTTAGAGAGAAGAGTCCACACAAGACCACACTCACTTTTGACATGACGCATAAATTCAGTAGAGAATGTGGTTGGGGTGTATCCCAAATAACACTCAGATTCAAAGCTTTTCCTGTGTTTTTGAGACATGTTACATCTTCTGCAATTGATGTGTGACAATATGCACAGAGTACTGCCAACTGAAGGAATTTCACATATGACTCATTGTCCAGGTTTTTTTATTGGGACATCCTTACATAAATATGATTGATTGATTTCCCCCATGGTTGAATTTCAAGTCAATTGATGGCACATGACTCAAAGCTCTCACCCTAATGACTTGGTTACTTTTTCTAGCTGGCCAGCTCTGCCCTAAGACTGTCAGGCATGGCCAATCCTCACCCTAAATCACATTGTTTCTGTCTGGCTACCCCAAGTCCTCTAGGCAAACAAGAATTAACTCCAAGAAGCTGAGGGCAAACAGCAGATATCTTTCTTTGGGGAGGGTCAGATTATTTTTACGAACTAGAGCCCTATCTCATGCACCACTTCAAAAATTTAGTTATAAAAAGAGTTACCTATACTTATAACTTGTATTTACTTGTCTTTCATTTACCCTTAAAACCTACAAAAGCTAGCTTATCAGGCTTCATCACCACCACCATCATAGTCATCGCCAGTATCATCACTGCCACAACAACATATACTGAACATATAGTGCATGCCAGTGATTTACAATTACTAACTCATTTAATACTCCTAACTTCCTGATAACCTAGGAATTAAGGTTATGCAATTTTGACAGGTGAAGAAACAAAGAGTTCAATCACATTCCTTAGGTCACATACTTGCTAGATGTCAAAGCCAGGATTCAAACCAAAAATATCTGACTCTGGTACATAAATACTTCAACAGACAGAACCAAAACAAACAAAGCAATGACATTCCCAAGGGTCAGTAACTGCCAAGGTGCTAAATTCAATATGTGCTTTTTATGTATCATGATATGTAACTTCTAGTGCACACACATGAACACACTCTCAGGCACTGTACTCAAATACCTGGATTTTAATTTTATTCTGAGACATTTTGAGTGAATTTCAACAAACTCCAACTCTTATATTTGCCAAACTGGACTTTTCTGAGCATTGAGTAAAAGATGACTAAACTCTACTACTGTATTTACTAATTATATTCTCTAGGGGTGAAAAAGTCTTTTTTCTTCTACCCATCTAGATTCAATGACTGGGGTCATAACTCAAACTGATAAAAGACAGATTAACAAGAAAGAAAACAACTTTATTATAAATATAAGCGTGGGACTTCAGAAAAAAAAATGTGGCTTAAAGAAGTGGCCAGGTGATTGAGGCTTATATACGTTTTAGGCTAACTGAAAGAAAATGGATTTTGAACTTCTGGGTCAGGGAGGTAAACTGTGGGAAGCTGAGGGGAAGAGACTGATAGTAAATAAGAGTTCTCTTGTTATGCAAGTAAGGGTCACTCAGGAGATAAGCCTGCCTCCTGGACTAGCCCCATTAGCGTAGGGGAGACAGCTGTACAAATAAAAATTTCCTTTTTAAATGTCAATTTACTTTACTAAAGGAGAAATTTAAACTTGACTTTTAGTTGGTTAGGGGGAGCTAAAGAGCTTTTTGTGTATCTTCTGATTCTCAATTGCCTTTAGCTCAAAATCATCCTTATGTGGCCTACCTTAGAAGGGTAGAAGGAAAAATAAATTTTTATCCCTTACAGAATATAAAGTGGCATATTTTGGAGTGCACATTCTGGTACCCTTTGATTTCACATCTTTTTACATGCTCTTTAGTTTGAATGTCTACACCACAGCCCCAAGCTGCTTTCATTTCTCATGTGACCTAATCGTTAACATGGGTCACAAAGCTCTACCCTTTCCAGTCATTGCTGGCTTTTCAGCCTGGGATATCCTTCTTCATTCTTTCTGTGCCCTAATATATTGTCCACCAAAAAGAACTTTAAAAGTGGCAAAGTCTCTCCAGACTAATGTCTGTCACTCTACATAGCATACAAATTCTCCTCTGTTCTCTTCATATAGATAATGCCTATTCACTATTGGGATCCCATCTTAGTATTTACTTCCATATCTGTTTTGTGTTGTTATAACAGAATATCACATACCGGGTAATTTATAATTACAGATATTTATTTGGCTCCCAGTGCTGAAGGCTGGGAAGTCCAAGGTCAAGAAGGATGTTTTGGACTGTGTCATCCCATAACGGAAGGTAAAGGGGCAAGAGAGTGTGCACAGGCATGAGAGGGGAAGGGGGAGAACTTATCCTTTTATCATGAACCCACTCCTGTGATAACTAACTCGCTCTTGTGATAATAACATAAATCTATTCATGAGGGCACAGCCCTCAAGATCTAATTACCTTTTAAAGATTTTACTCTGAATATAATTGCATTGGTAATTAAGTTTCTAACACATGAACTTTGGGGGACACATTCAAACCATAGCACTATCTATAATTTCTAACAGACAGTTATAACAAGTGACTGATTATGAGTACTTCTTCCTAGACTAGGATATCTGTGAGGACAGAAAGCAAACATTAGTCTCCTTCATCTATTGGTTTTGAAATACCAACCAAAGAGTAGATTAGTAATAAATACTTGTTAAATAAAGTTAATTAGTTATAAATACTTCTTAAATAAGTAAACAAATGACTTGTAGACTAGATGAGAGACAATTCTATATTCTCTCTTTGCCTAGATGTGCACTTCATCTACATGAGATTTCACTTCATCCTCTTCAAGTCTTTTTACCTCTAAAGAAGCTGCCCTTTCCTCCAGTTACTGCAGTCATTCAGCAGAATTAATTACTGGTTACAAGTGTAAAAACACAAATGAACACATAATGACACAGACTAAGTAACAGTTCAGATAAGCTTCCATAAGCTTATGTAAGTTAGCTTTTAATTATGTACTTTGCATGCTAAGTCTAAAATAAAATGATTATCCACATTGCACATGTTAAAGTTCTTTATATTAAGTGTTTAAGTGCAGAAACCAAACCTATACACCCTTTAATTCTAAGATAAAACATGCAGTTTAAATATTAACTTTAATTCTATAGGTTAATCTGAATTTATATAAATTTGTGATAATTATAGCAATTAACTGTAACAGAATTATTCTCATCACAAGACAAAACAGGCTTCCTGATCCCTATGCTGGCTCTAAGGCTTCACAACCTAATGAATGCTAAAATATTAAAATCTCATCCGGTTTACCATGGAGCCATAATTTATAAGAATAAATGCATAATAATTCTTTGGACTTCAGAGATAATTTATCAGCAATATTCTCACAGAGGATGATGATAATTCACTCTCAATTAGCCCAGCTTGATTTAAATCATTGATTGCCCCAAGTTTAATAATAATTTACTAATAATAAAATTAATACTTCCTTCTATTTTTGGATAAAATTATTAAAGAATCCATGGTGAATTTTAACTTTAAACATGAAAGCTTACCAATGTCTTCTTTTAACTTTTCCATTAGGGATTGAGCTCTCTTTCTAGGATTATTAACTTTATAGGAAGAATCTGTTCCCCTTGGAAATTCTGAGGTAGTTATCTTGGCTCTGTGCATTAATCTGTGTCCTATCTCTCCTTTCAAGATACCTTCATAGGTGCCAGGATCAGGTTTGTAGATATCAAATTCTTCAGTAATTACAATCAGAATATTCACTTTCAGGGAGTTCAATAAGATGGGGGTAGAATTAGCTATTTCTTGTGATTTGCTGTTTCAAAATAAAATAAAAAATTCACAAATATATATATATTCAATTACAGAGTCTATATCTGAAATGCATTATAACCATTATTAATTAAGCAGATCTTACCCTGATTCTGCTAAAGATGAGTTTATGGAATAATTTACATATTTAATAATTTTAGAAAATGGTGAAAATTAATCAAAGGCGACAACATCTAATGAGATTGGAGTCATTCCAGCTATACTACGGATTTCAGTGTTTCCTTTTTCCCATGGGTAGAGTACCTATTTAGAAGACATACATATGTATATTCTGTCTGTGAAACAGTGAGTTAATCTTGCTTGTCTTCATATTTTCATCTGAGTTGAGATAGAAGAAAATGCTAGCACAACCCCATATCTCAATGGAAAAAAAACATGGATTGTCCCTCAGGTTTAATCAGAAGCATCATCTCCAGAATCTACTTTTGCCACAGAGCCACTGTTCTTGCCTGGTGATTTTCACAGCCTCAAAACTTCAAGGCTGCAGTTAAAAAAAATGGCATTGCCTGTGGAAAATTATAAAGTTAGTAGCAAAATAGGAAGCAATCAAGAAATATCAGAGTGCTGTTAGTTTCCTGTACTAGGAAGCTAATATCAGTGGAAAGGAAAGAAAGATCACTTCAAGATGTCACAAGACATCTGACTTCTACTTCCATCATCAAAATTTTCAGTGATCTGGTATGAGTTACTGTTCATGATAGTAGTTTAATTTATAAGAAGAGTAGGAAGGGGATGGTCAAAGAGATCAGAATTTCTCAAGTAAGAGTGTGCATCAGCATCAGCTTTTAGAATTAAACAAAATGCAAGTGTTAGGCCTTCACCACAACAGTACTGAATTAGAACTTCTGTTAATGGGGCCGTAAATGTACAGGTTTAAATTCCACAATTGCTATTCCTGAACCCCCTAGACGAGATGATTCCTGATGCCCCTTTATCGCTCTGATATTTCTAAGATCTTATGAATTTTAATTAATAGGGTAGGGTAGCCTAATGACACTAACTGAATAGCAAAAATTTACCTTTAAATATTGTTTGTGTGTGTGTGTATGTGTGTAGCACTTAGCTGAATGCTGGTACAGAGTTGACTCTTTCTCTTCTCGCTCTCACTCTTCTTTCTCTCTCACACCCTTCCTATTGATAGATAAATATCTATCTATAGAGAGTTTACAGATAAATTCATATAAGTATAGATGTGATGGTTAATACTGAGTGTCAACTTGATTGGACTGAGGGATACAAAGTATTAATCCTGGGTGTGTCTGTGTGGGTGTTGCCAAAAGAGATTAACATTTGAGTCACTGGGCTGGGGAAGGCAGACCCACCCCTAATCTGGCGGGCACAATCTAATCAGCTTCTGACAAATATAAAGCAGGCAGAAAAACATGAAAAGGAGAGATGGGCCTAACCTCCCAGCCTACATCTTTCTCCCATGCAGAATGCTTCCTACCCTTGAACATCAGACACCAAGTTCTTCAGTTTTGGGACTCGGACTGGCTCTCCTTGCTCCTCAGCTTGCAGACAGTCTATTGTGGGACCTTGTCTGTTATATATATGTATCGCCTATTAGTTCTGTCCCTCTAAGAGAACTCTGACTAATACAATAGAGTATCAGTTAAAAATCATTTCCTGCTCTCAATTAGCTTAGTCTATTTTGGTGACAAAACTAACAGACAATCAGGGAGAAAATAGTTAAAGTGACAGTGAGACATAGACATCTAGAAGGTGGTGCTATATCCCACATTTATGGAGTTCAGGAATGCTACTGCTAAGGATTAGGTGGGATTTTTTTTCAGGCAAAAATTGGAAGATGTATTTTAGGTGTAAGAAAGGCTTGGCACAAGCAAATATCTAAGAAATTGAAAAACATGTTCCTTTCAATATTGTGAGGGAATTTGAATGTCTACCTGTTTTTAATTTAATGGGTATTGGAAAGTAATTGAATATTTACTACAAGATCTGGAATCAGCATTTAAAATGGTTTGAAGGTCTTAGATGGAAGTTAAAACAATAGATGTCTACCAAAGCTTATATGCTATATTATATGCATTATGTGCTGCGTTATATGCATCATATGCCATGTTAACTAGAATTTTTTTTTCAATGAACACAGTAATCTTTTGTTATTTTCCTCTAGTTCCCAACTGAAGTTCAGAAAGGCCACATTTCAGTCATAGCCTATCTAGCTCCACATGTTCTTTTTCTAACTCACGACACTGATGGGTTAGCAAATGATCCAGACTCTCTTTCTTTCCGGGGAAACTTTCCATATTCCATATTCAACAAAATTAATGAAATTTATTACTCCAATATTATATTTACATTTTAACACTTTTTTGAGTGAACTCATCTATTCTCCTGGCTCAAATGCTGTCTTATAATAAATATGTATATCTCTTTTCTTGAAATATAAAAAAAGTTACTGTGAAATATGGCAGAGCTAAAGAGAAAAGGGAAAAGGATCCTTGCTCTAATTCAAAATGGAGCTTCCTGTCACTCTTCAAGGTGGAGAGACTATTCACCATCCTTTGATGTACACTTAGGTTGTTTCCGTATCTTGGATATTGTGAAAAATTTTACAAAGAACTTAGAAGCACAGACATCTCTTTGAGGTACTGATTTCAACTCCTTTAGGCATATACCAGAAAAGAAATTGCTGGACAAATGGTATTTCTATTTTAAACCTTTTAAAGGATCTCTATAATGTTTTTCATAGTTGCTGTACTAATTTACTTTTTCACTAATATTGTACAAGACTTCTGTATAGTATGATGTTTAGAGTTAATAATGCTGTATTATACACTAAAATTTTCCCAAGAAAATAGACTTCAGGTGCTCTCACTACCAAAAACAAGAAAAAAAATGTGAAGAGATGAATATGATAATTTACTTGACTTTAGTAATCACTTTACTACACATATATAAACATCATATTGTACAACTTAAATATGTGTAATAAGAAGAGCAAATGTGAGATAGTCTCAATACCTAATAGCAAGAAAATGAAAGGTAATACAATTTTGAAATATCTTTATGATGTGCTTTTTTAAAGCAATTAAAACTGAATTTTTAAGGCTTTGTAAAACCATAAAGAAATGCTTACTTTATATGGTTAAGCAAAAATAATCTATAATACTGTCTATGACATAGTATTATGTTATCTATGTAAACATGTATTTTTTTTAAAGAGATGGGTAAAAAACTAGAAGGGAATATCACTAACAGTAATAAACAAAAAACCAAAAAAAAAGAAAAAAAATTACCCAAAAGAGGTCCTAACATAATTTATTATCCAAATAGAAAAAATAGTACTTTAGCATTTCTAACTCACACCTTAATCAAAGATTAATTTCAGGTTGAATAAAGATCCAAATGTAAAACAGAATTTTAAGACTTTTAAAAGAGTATAGGGGATAATATCTGTATGACTACCACGTAGAAAAGTTCTTAAGAGAAAAAACAAACTATAAATTACAAAATAAGTTCTTAAAAAATTCAGCAAAGTAAAATTATATTTTTTTGGTTCATTAAAATATGTGACAACAAAAAACAGTACAAAGAAAAGTTACAAACTGGGTGAAAATATTTGAAACTATAAACCAGTAAATTTAGATTGGATAAATTGAAATTATACAAATAAAAAAAGACAAAAGTAGGCAAAAATGAAAAATAAACAGATAATTCAGGAATCATGAACACAAATATGCACTAAAAAGATGATAAGATCAACCTTGTTAGTAATCAAGAAAATGCAAATTACAACCACAAAGAGGTAAAATAGAAAATAATTTGTCCAAAATATAAAAGAAAATTAAATTAGAGAATTAGTTTAGATGTTTGTCAAGATGGAGAGTATTGGAAACTGTTCACTGCTGGTAGAAGTGACTGAAATAATCACTTTGGAAGAAATATAGTGTTACCATATGAATGAAAATATATGCAACTTATGACTCGTAAAACTTCAGAGAATGTCTTGCTTATACGCTCCAAGAAACACATACAAGAAGTTTCATGGTAGCATTATGTGTAACTGAACATCTTAGAAAACATTTACCTTGCCTTCACCAGAAAAAATGATATTTTTTAATGGCCATAAAATGGAATACAATACAACAGAGAAAATGAATATCTTATAAGAATACTAATGAAAATGTACTTATGGAGAGAGGGGAAGTGGGAGGTATTAATCAAAGAATAGAAAGTTTCAGTTATCCAACATAAGTATGTTCTAGAGATGTACTTTACAACAATGTTTCAGTTAACAATATTATACTTAAAAAAATTGCTAAGAGGGTAAATCTTATGTTATGTATTTTTTATCATAAAAAAGTGATAGTATAAATAAAAAAGAAAGAGGTCAGGCAGAGTGGTTCATGCCTATAATCCTAACATTTTGGGAGGCCAAGGTGGGTGGATCACCTGAGGTCAGGAGTTCGAGACCAGCCTGACTAACATGGTTAGTCCCTGTCTCTACTGAAAATACAAAAATTAGCCAGGCGTGGTGGTGGGTGCCTATAATTCCAACTATCTGGGAGACTAAGGCAGGAGAATCTGTTGAACTTGGGAGGTGGAGGTTGTATCAAGCCGAGGTGGCGCCATTGCACTCCAGCTTGGGTGACAAGGGCAAAACTCCATTAAAAAAAAAAAATACACAAAAAAAGAAGAAGAAAGAAACTTCTTGAGGTGGTGAATATATTTATGACATAGATTATAGTGATAATCTCATTGGTGTGTACTTATCTCAAGACTCATCAAGTAGTATATATGAAATAAGTACAACCTTTTTATGTATATTGTTCCTCAATAACATGGTTAAAAAAGAAACTTTTTATATCTCAAAGTGGTTTTATTGAGCATAAACCAAACAAAAGCTGCAGTTACTGATGTATTAGGTTTATAGTCCTCTGAGGATAATCATACCTTCATCACTGAGGTCTAAGCCAAATGTTCCTGTCTACTTTGAGGCCACAGTTCCTACAAACATGAAAATATCCCTCAATGACTCTCTTTAGAACAAAACATACTTGTCAGGCCTCTGAGGCCAAGCTAAGCCATCATATCCCCTGTGACCTGCACGTACACATCCAGATGGCTGATTCCTGCCTTAACTGATGACATTCCACCACAAAAGAAGTTAAAATGGCCTGTTCCTGCCTTAACTGATGACATTATCTTGTGAAATTCCTTCTCCTGGCTCATCCTGGCTCAAAAGCTCCCCTACTGAGCACCTTGTGACCCCTACTCCTGCCTGCTAGAGAACAACCTGCCTTTGACTGTAATTTTCCTTTACCTACCCAAATCTTATAAAACGGCCCCACCCCTGTCTCCCTTCGCTGACTCTCTTTTCGGACTCAGCCTGCCTGCACCCAGGTGATTAAAAGCTTTATTGTTTACACAAAGCCTGTTTGGTGGTCTCTTCACATGGACGCAAGTGAGTGAAATTTGGTGCCATGACTCAGATCAGGGGACCCTCCTTGGGAAATCAACCCCCTGTCCTCCTGCTCTTTGCTCTGTGAGAAAGATACACCTACGACCTCTGGTCCTCAGACAGACCAGCCCAAGGAACATCTCACCAATTTCAAATCCGGTAAGCGGCCTCTTTTTACTCTCTTCTCCAACCTCCCTCACTATCCCTCAACCTCTTTCTCCTTTCAATCTTGGGGCCACACTGCAATCTCTCCCTTCTCTTAATTTCAGTTCCTTTCATTTTCTGGTAGAGACAAAGGAGACACATTTTATCCGTGGACCCAAAACTCCGGCGCCAGTCACGGACACCGGAAGGCAGCCTTCCCTTGTTGTTTAATCATTGTGGTGACACCTCTCTGATTATTCACCCATGTTCCATTGGTGTCTGATCTCCACGGGGATGCCTGCCTTGATTATTCACCCACATTCCCTTGGTGGCAAGTCAATTGCGGGGACATCTGCTTTGGCTGCTCACCCATGTTGCAGCCCAGGGCTACTCCTCACCCCCTTCTCCGTGTCTCTACCCTTCTCCTTAAACTTGCCTCCTTCACTATAGGCAAACTTCCACCCTCCATTCCTCCTTCTTCTCCCTTAGCCTGTGTTCTTAAGAACTTAAAACCTCTCCAATTCTCACCTGACCTAAAATCTACGCATCTTATTTTCTTCTGCAACACTGCTTGTCCACAATACAAACTTGACAATGGCTCTAAAAGGCCAGAAAATGGCATTTTTGATTATCTCCATCCTACAAGACCTAAATAATTCTTGTCATAAAATGGGCAAACGGTCTGAGATGCCTGACGTCCAGGCATTCTTTTACACACTGGTCCCTCCCGTCTCTGTTCCCAATGCAACTTATCCCAAATCTTCCTTCCCTCCCGCCTGTCCCCTCAGTCCCAACCCCAAGTGTTACTAAGTCTTTCTAATCTTCCTTTTCTACAGACCCATCTGACCTCTCCCCTCCTTGCCAGGCCGAGCTAGGTCCCAATTCTTCCCCCAGCCTCTGCTCCTCCACCCTATGATCCTTTTATCACCTCCCCTCCTCGCACCCGGTCCAGCTTACAGTTTTGTTCGGTGACTAGCCCTCCCCGACCTGCCCAGCAATTCCCTCTTAAAAAGGTGGCTGGAGCTAAAGGCATAGTCAAGGTTAATGCTCCTTTTTCTTTATCCGACCTCTTCCAAATCAGTTAGTGTTTAGACTCTTTCATCAAATATGAAAAACCAAGCCCAGTTAACGGCTTGTTCGGCAGCAACCCTGAGATGCTTTACAGCCCTAAACACTAAAAGGTCAAAAGGCCGTCTTATTCTCAATATATATTTTATTACCCAATCTGCTCCTGACATTAAATAAAACTCCAAAAATTAAATTCTGGCCCTCAAACCCCACAACGGGACTTAATTAACCTCGCCTTCAAGGTGTACAATAGAAGAGTAGAGGCAGCCAAGTAACAATGTATTTCTGAGTTGTAATTCCTTGCCTCCACTGTGAGACAAACCCCAGCCACATCTCCAGCATGCAAGAACTTCCAAACACCCGAACCGCAGTGGCCAGGCATTCCTCCAGAACTGCCTCCCCTAGGAGCTTGCTACAAGTGCCAGAAATCTGGCCACCAGGCCAAGGAATGCCTGCAGCCCGGGATTCCTCCTAAGCCGTGTCCCATCTGTGTGGGACCCCACTGGAAATCGGACTGTCCAACTCATCCGGCAGCCACTCCCAGAGCCCCTGGAACTCTGGCCCAAGGCTCTCTGACTGACTCCTTCCCAGATCTTCTCTACTTAGCAGCTGAAGACTGACACTGCTTGATTGCCTCAGAAGCCTACAGGACCATCACAGACACTCTGGGTAACTCTTACAGTGGAAGGTAAGTCCGTCCCCTTCTTAATTTATATGGAGGCTACCCACTCCATATTACCTTCTTTTCAAGGGCCTGTTTCCCTTTCAAGGGCCTCCATAACTGTTGTGTGTGTTGACGGCCAGGCTTCTAAACCTCTTAAAACTCCCCAACTCTGGTGCCAACCTAGACAATACTCTTTTAAACACTCCTTTGTGGTTATCCCCACCTGCCCAGTTCCCTTATTAGGCTGAGATACTTTAACTAAATTTTCTGCTTCCCTGACTATTCCTAGGCTACAGCCACGCCTCTTTGTCACCTTTTCCCCCAGTTCAAAGCCTCCTTCACATCCTCCCCTTGTATCTCCCCACCATAGCCCACAAGTATAGGACACCTCTACTCCCTCCTTGGCAACTGATCATGCACCCCTTACCATCTCATTAAAACCTAATCACCCTTACCCCACTCAATGCCAATATCCCATCCCACAGCATGCTTTAAAAAGATTAAAGCCTGTTATCACTGGCCTGTTACAGTATGGCCTTTTAAAGCCTATAAACTCCCCTTACAGTTTCCCCATTTCACCTGTCCTAAAACCAGACAAGACTTACAGGTTGGTTCAGGATCTGCGCCTTATCAACCAAATTGTTTTGCCTATCCACCCCTTGGTGCCAAACCCATATACTCTCCTATCCTCAATACCTCCCTCTACTACCCATTATTCTGTTCTGGATCTCAAACATGCTTTCTTTACTATTCCTTTGCACCCTTCATCCCAGCCTCTCTTCACTTTCACTTGGACTGACCCTGACACCCATCAGGCTCAGCAAATTACCTGGGCTGTACTGCCACAAAGCTTCGCAGACAGCCCCCATTACTTCAGTCAAGTCCAAATTTCTTCCTCATCTGTTACCTATCTCAGCATAATTCTCATAAAAATACACGTGCACTCCCTGCCGATCGTGTCCAACTGATCTCTCAAGCCCCAGCACCTTCTACAGAACAACAACTCCTTTCCTTCCTAGGCATGGTTAGATACTTTCAACTTTAGATACCTGGTTTTGCCATCCTAACAAAACCATTATATAAACTCACAAAAGGAAACCTAGCTGACCCCATAGATCCTAAATCCTTTCCCCACTCCTCTTTCCATTCCTTGAAGACAGCTTTAGAGACTGCCCCCACCCTAGCTCTGCCTGACTGATCCCAACCCTATTCATTACCCACAGCCGAAGTGCAGGGCTGTGCAGTCAGAATTCTTACACAAGAACCAGGACCGCACCCTGTAGCCTTTTTACCCAAACAACTTGACCTTACTGTTTTGCCTAGCCCTCAAGTCTGTGTGCAGCAGCCACCGCTGCCCTAATACTTTTAGAGGCCCTTAAAATCACAAACTATGCTCAACTCACTCTCTACAGTTCTCATAACTTCCAAAATCTATTTTCTTCCTCACACCTGACACATATACTTTCTGCTCCCTGGCTCCTTCAGCTGTACTCACTCTTTGTTGAGTCTCCCACAATTACCATTGTTCCTGGCCCGGACTTCAATCCAGCCTCCCACATTATTCCTGATACCACACCTGACCCCCCATGACTGTATCTCTCTGATCCACCTGACATTCACCCCATTTCCCCATATTTCCTTCTTTCCTGTTCCTCACCCTGATCACACTTGGTTTATTGATGGCAGTTCCACCAGGCCTAATCGCCACACACCAGCAAAGGCAGGCTATGCTACAGTACAAGCCGCTAGCCCGCCTCTTAAAACCTCTCATTTCCTTTCCATCGTGGAAATCTATCCTCAAGGAAATAACCTCTCAGTGTTCCATGTGCTATTCTACTGCTTCTCAAGGATTATTCAGGCCCCCTCCCTTCCCTACACATCAAGCTCAGAGATTTGCCCCTGCCCAGAACTGGCAAAATGACTTTACTCACATGCCCCAATTCAGGAAACTAAAATACCTCTTGGTCCGGGTAGACACTTTCACTGGATAGGTAGAGGCCTTTCCCACAAGGTCTAAGAAGGCCACCATGGTCATTTCTTCCCTTCTGTCAGACATAATTCCTCGGTTTGGCCTTCCCACCTCTATACAGTCCGATAGCAGACCGGCCTTTATTAGTCAAATCAGCCAAGCAGTTTTTCAGGCTCTTAGTATTCAGCAAAACCTTTATATACCTTACAGTCCTCCGTCTTCAGGAAAGGTAGAACAACCAAAAGTCTTTCAAAAACACACCTCACCAAGCTCAGCCACCAACTTAAAAAGGACTGGACAATACTTTTACCACTTTCCCTTCGCAGAATTCAGGCCTTTCCTCAGAATGCTACAGGGTACAGCCCATTTTCATAATATTATTTTTATGCATTTGAATTTTCCTTATGGTTTCATTACTTTTTATTTTAAAATGAACTGGAATATTCATGGAAAGCTGTTGCTTTCTTGTAACATTCTAAAAGATATATACCATACTCTGGAAATTGTTAATATGTACTTAATTAACGTGAATTTAGTACATCTTTCTATAAAACTAAAGGGACCTAAAGAAAAAGTAATAGTTATCTAGGGAGACATTTAATGAAGGGGTTCAGCATGTATAGAGTCTCATGAGTAGAAAAGAACGTAGAGTGTTTTAGGAACTGAAAGAACACAGGATGCTGTGAACATAATGAACAAGCATGAAAATGATACAAGATGAGGTTAGAGAGGTTGGCAGGAGCTGATCATGCAGGGCATTTTTAGATCCCATTTTCTTAGTATAATAGAAAACCTTTGAAAGTAGGGTAGTAACATTCTATTTATATTTTTAAAAGATCATGGCAGTATAGAGAATATAATGGAGGGAATAGAAAGGAAAAGCAGAGTGTGTCATTCCGGGAGAGAATTGCAGACGCAGTCGTGGGGAATGATGGCATATTCTATGGATGCTGAAAGGGAGGGATGAGAAAGATTTTGGAAGCCGACTTCAGAGACCCTGATGGCATATTGAATTTTGGTAATGATGGGTGTGAAGAGGAAGTGACCTAAGTTTCTGCCTAAGTAACAGAGTAGATGGGGACTTTGAAGGCTGAAGGAGGAGAGAGATTTGGCAGGTAAGATTAAGCACTGAGTTTTGCATGTGTTAAATTTGAAATTTGTGTCAGACATCCAAATGACAAAAATCTGTTGGTTATGTAAAGCTTGATCTGCAAAGATAATTTCGGTTGAGAAATAGAAATTTTGGAAGTGGTGAAGTATAAATAGGATTTAAAGCTGTGGATATATGTATTACATACCTACTTTATAAAAACTTCCTGAGTTCAATGTTCGTACAGTAATTGGGGGAAAAATAACATGCTTATGTAGAAAGTTAATTCTGGACTAAATGGAACTTATTGTAGCACATTACAGATTGCTGGTTGCTTGATAGGACTACATCTGTTTCAAATAACAGGAAGTTCTCCTATTGTGCTTTTAAAAGGTAGGGGCTAAATTGCCCCATACCACAAAATGTTAGGGACAAGTCAGTTTAAGGCTAATATTATGGCTCAAAGGCATGATCAGGACACATGACTTTCTAGCTTCCCACTCCATCATACGTCAAAATATAAGCCTTTAAAACAATGCTTCTCAAATCAAGGCTATCAGATGGTTGCTGGAACCGTAGGTGTCATGTCTGCATTTCTTTACATAATTACTTGGAAAGCAGTATTACAAGGCCACCCTTAGCTGCCTTGAGCCCTGGGTATGTTTAACTGGAACATGGCTAAATTGGAGTTCTATCCATAAGAATAAAAGGGGAGCAGGGCTTCTATTGAGAAAATAACTAGTAATCACTAATTTTGCTATGCTCTATGATATAATACCCTTCAAATTTGGGAGTCATTATTTAACTTTATTTTAGGTTTTTTAGTAGTCATTTTCATAATATTATTTTTACTCACTTGAATTTTCCTCATGGTTTCATTACTTTTTATAATGAACTGGAATATTCATGGAACATAGTATCTCTAAATATGTTACAGAAAGCTGTTACTTTCTTATAACATTCTAAAAAATATATACCATACTCTAGCAATTAATATGTACTTAGTAAATCTGACTTTAGTATATCTTCAAAACTAAAAATGATTTAGACTTCCAATGGTGATTAAACAAATTAACATGAATAATTTCAGAGTATAATCTGAAATAATTTAAATAAATAAAACACACCTATATATTGACCTAGAGAGACAACCATAACACTAAGTTAAGTAAAGAAGAGTAAGCAACAGATTAGGCCAAAGTAAACCTGGGTAAGCAAAGATTTTCTGTAAAGAGCCAGACAGTAAATTTTTTAGGCTTCGCAGCCCTGTGGTTAG
This sequence comes from Homo sapiens, assembly GCF_000001405.40. Taxonomy (NCBI): domain Eukaryota; kingdom Metazoa; phylum Chordata; class Mammalia; order Primates; family Hominidae; genus Homo; species Homo sapiens. Next base: position 52,020,986 of record NC_000002.12, on the reverse strand, counting down.
TCAAAACTACTCAACCTTGTCATATCATGAAGGCAGCCATAGGCAATATGTAAATGAATGAGGGTCACTGTGTTCTAATAAAGCTTTATTTATAAAAACTACATTTAGCCTACAGGTAGTCATTTGCCAGCCCTCAGTATAGAAGAGAATGATTAAAAGAAACACAATTTTTAGATACAATTGTTGGTAAAAGATAAATTGAGAGAGAAAAAAGAGAGAGAAAGAGAAAATTGGTTTTCCTTTGCAATGAAGACTTAAGTGAGTTCAGCAAAAAGAGTTTGGGGAGTGAAGAAATTGAATTTTTAATTATTTACTTTATATAAAATTTAAATATTGAGATATTTTTACTTCTATATTCATATTTTACAAATAAAAAGCTCTTTAAAAATGAAATTATGTTTTTTTAAAACTAAACTTATGACTTTACTTGAAATTAACTGATAGAATAAAATCAGCTGTTACATCATGGCAACAAACTACTACTCTTGCCTATAAACCCAATTATCTTAATGTCAAATAATTATTTTAATTCATTTTCATCTAGTATTTTAACTTTCATTTTGTATTGCTGTTCTTCTAAATCCAGTGAATACTCACAAATTTACACTTTTATTATGGACCATTTATTTTCCTATTATGGTGGCTTTTGTTATTCATTATCTACAATATGCCAAGCACTTTGCATTCCTTTGCTTAATCCTCACAAACCCTGTAACCTAGGCACTCTTATTCCACTAGTACCAATAGAGAACGTGCAGTTTACATATTAAGTAACTTGCCAAAGAAAACGTAGCTAGAAGGAAAAGCAGATATCTGAGACCAGAGCAGTATGACTCCGAAACGCATTCTGTCTCTCATGTTTTTGTCTCACGTTGATACTTCGGCTTGGAAAAATCACTCAATCCTAGATCATACAGTTATACAAATCATGCTATTCATTCTCCCTCTTAGTTCCCACAATGACTTTTACAAGCAGGTCCTCCTCTGTTTCCTCCATCTTCTCTACCTTCATGCTGAGACATCCTTGCTTCTATTTCACAGAGAAAATAGGGACTGTCAGGTGAGATTAGCTAAAACTTTCTGCTTACTTTCACCTGAACATTATATTGGCATCTGCATCCAATCTTACCTCTTTTCATTTTGACTTTGCTTTTCTTAAAGTTAATTCTTCCATTTCCATTTGTATTCTGGCTCTAACTACTGGGGAAGTTACTTTTTCCTTTCTCTCCCTGCTGGCCCTCACCTCTAAGACTTGGGTCAGGTGACACAATTTTATATGAAAATTATAGCCTTGTAAAACAAATTCTTAACTTCTCCAATTCTAGCATAAAAAGGAATGGGCAGAACATAGCAGCCCTCACTGAGGAGGAATGCCATTCCTACTGAAAGTCACATAACGAAGTCAACGTATTTTTTCCTTGTCATTAAAATTCACTGATCCTATGTTAATTCACTTTGGAAAATGGCCTTCAGCTGCAACCATGTTGCTGCAAAGGACATGACTTCATTTAATTTTTAGGGCTGCATAGTATTCCCTGGTGTATAAGTATCACATTTTCTTTATCCATTCCACTGTTGATAGGCATCTAGGTTGATTCCATGTCTTTGCTATTGCAAATAGTGGTGCAATGAGCATACGAATGAATGTGTATTTTTGATAGAATGATCTGGAGGGTGGGAGGTGGGCATAGTTTGAAAAACTACCCATCAGATACTGTGCTCACTACCTGGGTGACAGGATCATTTATGCCCCCAACCTCAGTGACTTTCAATTTTCTCATGTAACAAACCTACACATGTACCCTCTGAACCTAACAAAAAAGTCAGACAAAAAATTCACTGACAAGGCAGTTGATGGTAGATAATGTTTTACTGATATGGTAGATAATGTTTTACTGTTTTACCGCAGGGTGCTGACGGAAATGTAAATGCAATATGTACACCAGAGGGGGATGTGGATACAACTTTTTATAGAAGATTATGATCAAATTGGTGGTCTTATTAATTGTAATTGTGTTCCTTTGTGTTTTAACTTTTTGACTGAAGCTGTCTTTCTAAATTTAAAGGCTGTTATTTTACTGTGTTTTGGCATAGAATCCCTCTTTAGCCTTTGCCTTTATGTTACACGGGTACTAGAATAAGATGGCTTGAAAAACTTCCCTCATTTTGAAAGACCAATGAAATAAGCCTAATCCTGAGCATTTCTTAGAAGAAAACCTGCCATGTGAATTTATAAATGATTTACAAATTTATAAATGAGAATCCAGCTCCTTTTTGTTTGGATCCTGGATAAATTTCTCCTGTAGATGATCATGGTGGACAGGAGGCAGGACTAGATTGCAGCTCTGACTCGGAAGAACAGAGCAGCTTGCAGAGGCTTGCATGTGAATTTTAGCTCCAGATCAACTGTAAGAACAAACCAGCAATCCTGAGAGGACCCACAAACCTTCTGAAGGAAGAAGACTGCTCCTGCAGGACCCAGGAGACCAACCCCACAAATACTGTGAGTGCCTCAACTGCAGAAGAGGGAAACGGAGATCCTCCTCTCTCAAACACATACGCCCACTGGAGAAACTGAAGGTCTGTTTGAGAGGGAAGATTCTGACCTTACCTGGAGCTGAGTCAATTTGGGGAGCCGAGTGAAATACCTGGGTAGAGGAAGCAGTGGGTAAGGTCCTGGGAGCTCGCTGCATCCCCAGGCAGTTCATTCCTGCCTGGCACCACAGGAATCCATTGGGAGGGTGACCAGAGGAGCTGGCGGGTGGAGAACACTACAGGGAGAAGGAAATCTCCAGCTGAACTTCATAACAATTTGAACTCGGCGTGAAGCCTCCTGGCCAGAACTCAGGGGAGGGAGCAAATTTGGTGAGCAGACTCCACAGGCAGGGGAAGAACCAAGCCCTTTTCTTTCACAGCTGAGAGGCACGTAGCCTGAGGCAAATTCTGAAGCCCAGTTCGCCCACAGCCTGGAAACAGACTCAGGTCTGCTAGTGACGGACACAGTGGGAATGAGACTGGCTCTTAGGTTTGCATGGGAACTGGATGAAGTCTGTGACTGCTAGCTTCCCCCACCCTACCTCCCTGCAACCTGCATAACTCAGCAGAGACAGCCATAATCCTCCTAGGTACATAAGTCCATTGACCTGGGAACCCCACCCCCATCTCCCATAGCAGCTCCGGGAGGACCTGCCCAAGCAGAGTCTGAGCTCAGTCATGCCTATACTTGACCCCAGCTGATAGTCCTTCCCTACCCACCCTGGTAGCTGAAGACAAAGGTCATATAATCTTGGGAGTTCTAGGGCCCAGCCCACCATTGGTTCCCCTCCATACTGCCACAGCTGATGCTTCTGGAAAGTGCCACTTCCTGGCAGGAGGCCAACCAGCCTAAAAATAGATCATTAAATCACCAACGCTAAGAACCCTCAAAGAGTCCATTCACCACCCCCTGCCACCTCCACTGAAACAGGTGCTGGTATCCACAGCTGAGAGACCCACAGATGGTTCACATCACAGGACCCTGTGCAGACAACCCCCAGTACCAGCCCCAAGCCAGGTAGACTTGCTGGGTGGCTAGACCCAGAAGACAGACAACAATCACTGCAGTTTGGCTCACAGGAAGCTACATCCATAGGAAAAGGGGGAGAGTACTACATCAAGGGAACACCCTGTGGGACAAAAGAATCTGAACAATAGCATTCAGCCCTAGACCTTCTCTCTGACTATGCAGAGGTTCCCTCAGAACCTATGCAAATGAGAAGGAACCAGAAAACCAGCTCTGGTAATATAATAAAACAATGCTCTTTAACACCCCTCAAAAACCACACTAGTTCACTAGCAATGGATTTAAACCAAGAAGAAATCCCTGATTTAACTGAAAAAGAATTCAGGAGGTTACTTATTAAGCTAATCATGGAGACACCAGAGAAAGGTGAAGCCCAATGCAAGGACATTAAAAAATGATACAAGAAGTGAAGGAATAAATATTCAAGGAAATAGATAGCTTAAAGAAAAAATGATAAAAAATTCAGGAAACATTGGACACACTTATAGAAATGCAAAATGCTCTGGAAAGTCTCAGCAATAGAATTGAACAAGTAGAAAAAAGAAATTCAGAGCTCAAAGATAAGTTCTTCGAATTAATTCAATCCAACAAAGACAAAGAGAAAAGAATAAGAAAATATGAACACAGACTCCAAGAAGTCTGGGATTATGTTAAACAACCAAACCTAAGAATAATCAGTGTTTCTGAGGAAGAAAAGAAATCTAAAAGTTTGAAAAACATATTTGGGGGAATAATTGAGGAAAATGTCCCCAGCCTTGCTAGAGACCTAGACATCCAAATACAAGAAGCACAAAGAACACCTGGGAAATTCATCACAAAAAGGTCATTGCCTAGGCACATTGTCATCAGGTTATCTAAAGTTAAGATGAAGGAAAGAATCTTAAGAGCTATGAGACAGAAGCACCAGGTAACCTATAAATGAAAACCTATGAGATTAACAGCAGATTTCTCAGTAGAAACCCTACAAGCTAGAAGGGATTGAGGTCCTATCTTCAGCCTCCTCAAACGAAACAATTATCAGCCAAGAATTTTGCATCCAGTGAAACTAAACATCATATATTAAGAAAAGATACAATCTCTTCAGTACAAACAAATGCTGAGAGAATTAGCCACTACCAAGCCACCATTACAAGAACTGCTAAAAGGAACTCTAAATCTTGGAACGAACCCTGGAAACACAACAAAACAGAATCCCTTTGAAGCATAAATCACACAGGACCTATAAAACAAAAACACAAATTCAAAAGCAAAAACAAAACCCCAAAAAACCAAGGTACACAGGCAACAAATAGCACAATGAATGCAATAGTACCTCACATCTCAATACTAACATTGAATGTAAATGGCCTAAATGCTCCACTTGAAGATACAGAAATGCAGAATACATAGGAACTCACCAAACAGCTTTCTTCTGCCTTAGGGAGACTAACCTAACACATAAGGACTCACATAAAGTAAAGGGGTGGAAAAAGGTATTTCATGCAAATAAACACCAAAAGCGATCAGGTGTAGCTATTCTTATATCAGACAAAACAAATAGCAGTTAAAAGAGACAAAGAGGAATGTTATATAATGGTAAAAGGCCTTGTCCAACAGGAAACTATCACAAACCTAAATATATATGCACCTAACACTGGAGCTCCCCAATTTATAAAACAATTACTAATAGACCTAATAAATGAGATAGCAGCACAGTAATAGTGGGGAAATTCAGTATTCCACTGACAGCACTAGACAGTGATCAGAAAGTCAAGAAATAAAAAATGGATTTAAACTATACCTTGGAACAAATACACTTAACAGATATATATAGAACAGTTCACCCAACAACCACAAAATACACATCCTATTCAACAGTGCATGGAACTTTCTTCAGGGTAGACCATATGATAGGCCATAAAACGAGCCTCAATAAATTTAAGAAAATTGAAATTGTATCAAACAGTCTCTCAGACCACAGTGGAATAAAACTGGAAATCAATTCCAAAAGGAACTTTCAAAACCATGAAAATACATGGAAATTAAATTGCTCCTGAATCAGCATTGGGTCAAAAACAAAGTCAAGATGGAAATTAAAAGCTTTACACTGAACAATAATAATGACACAACCTATCAAAACCTCTGGGATACAGCAAAGGCAGTGCTAAGAGGAAAGTTCATAGCCCTGAATGCCTGCATCAAAAAGACTGAAAGAGCACAAACTAACATGCTAAGGTCACACCTCGAGGAACTGGAGAAACAAGAACAAACCAAATCCAAGCCCAGCAGAAGACAGGAAATAACCAAGATCAGAGCAGAACTAAATGAAATTGAAAACAAAATCAATACAAAGGATAAATGAAACAAAAAGCTAGTTCTTTGAAAAGATAAATAAAATTGATAGACATTAGCAAGATTAACCAAGAAAATAAGAGAGAAAATACAAATAATCTCATTAAGAAAAGAAACAGGAGATATTACAACTGACATCACTGAAATACAAAAGATCATTCAAGGCTACTATGAACATCTTTATGCACATAAATTATAAAACCTAGAAGAAATGGATAAATTCCTGGAAAAATACAACCCTCCTAGCTTAAATCAGAAAGAATTAGATACCCTGAAAAGACCAATAACAAGCACAAAGATTGAAATGGTAGTTAAAAAATTACCAACAAAATAAAGCCCAGGACCAGACGGATTCACAGCAGAATTCTATGAGGCATGCAAAGAAGAATTGGTACCAATGCTTTTGAAATTATTACACAAGATAAAGAAAGAAGGAACCCTACCTAGTTTATTTTATGAAGCCAGCATCACTCTAATACCGAAATCAGGAAAGGACATAACCAGAAAAGAAAACTACAGACTCATATTCTTGATGAACATAGATGCTAAAATCCTTAACAAAACACTAGCTAACCTAATCCAACAACATATCAAAAAGATAATCCACCATGATCAAGTAGGTTTCATACCAGGGATCCAGGGATGGTTTAACATGGGCAAGTCAATAAATGTGATACACCACATAAACAGAATTAAAAACAAAAATCACATGAGCATCTCAATAGATGCAGAAAAAACATTCAACAAAATCCAGCATGACTTTATGATTAAAACTCTCAGCAAAATTGGCATACAAGGGACATACTTCAATGTAATAAAAACCATCTATAACAAACCCACAGCCAACATAATGCTGAACGGGGACAAGTTGAAAGCATTCCCTCTGAGAGCTGGAACAAGACAAGAATGCCCATTCTCACCATTCCTCTTCAACACAGTACTGAAGTCCTGGCCAAAGCAGTCAGACAAGAGAAAGAAATAAAGGACATCCAAATCGGTAAACAGGAAGTCAAACTGTTCCTGTTTGCTGACGCTATGATTGTTTACCTTGAAAACCATAAAGACTCCTCCGGAAAGCTCCTAGAGCTGATAAAAGAACTCATCAAAGTTTCTGGATACAACATTAATGTACACAAATCAGTAGCTTTTCTATACACTAACAGTGACCAAGCGGAGAAACAAATAAACAGGTCAACCCTTTTTACAATAGCCGCAAAAAAAATTAAGTACTTAGGAATATACCTAACCAAGGAGTCGAAAGACGTCTACAAGGAAAACTACAAAACACTGCTGAAAGAAATAGATGACACAAACAAAGGGAAACACAACTCATGCTTATGGATAAGTAGAATCAATATTGTGAAAATAACCATACTGGTAAAAGCAGTCTACAAATTCAATGCAATTCCCATCAAAATACCACCATCATTCTTCACAGAGTTAGAAAAAACAATTCTAAAATTTATATGAAACCAAAAAAGAACCCTCATAGCCAAAGCAAGACTAAGCAAAAAGAGCAAATCTGGAGGCATGACACTACTTGGTTTCAAACTGTACTACAAGGCCATAGTCACCAAAACAGCATGGTACTGGTATAAAAATGGGCACATAAACCAATGGAACAGAATGAGAACCCAGAAATAAAGCCAAATACTTACAGCCAACTGATCTTTGACAAACCAAACAAAAACACAGAATGGGAAAAGGACACCCTTTTCAACAAATGGTGCTGGGATAATTGGCTAGCCATATGGAGGAGAATGAAACTGTATCCTCATCTCTCACCTTATACAAAAATCAACTCAAGATGGATCAAAGACTTAAACCTAGGAGCTGAAACTATAAGCACTCTAGAAGATAACATTGGAAAAACCTTTCTAGACATTGACTTAGGCAAGGATTTATTTAATGACCAAGAACCCAAAAGAAAATGCAATAAAAAGAAAGATAGACCAGGCGCAGTGGCTCGCCCTGTAATCCCAGCAGTTTGGGAGGCTGAAGCAGGCAGATCACTTGAGGTCAGGAGTTTGAGACCAGCCTAGCCAACATGGTGAAACCTCATCTCTACTAAAAATACAAAAATTAGCTGGGCATGCTGGCATACGCCTGTAATCCCAGCTACTTGGGAGGCTGAGGTAGGAGAATTGCTTGAACCCAGGAGGCGGAGCTTGCAGTGAGCTGAGATAGCACCACCTCAAAAAAACCAAACCAAACCAAAAAAAAACCAAAACAAAAGCAAAAATATATAGTTGGGACTTAATCAAACGAAAGAGCTTTTCTTGGCAAAAGAAACAGTCAGCAGAGTAAACAGACAACCCACAGAGTGGGAGAAAATCTTCCCAACATATACATTTGACAACAGACTAATATCCAGAATCTGCAACAAACTCAAATCAGTAAGAAAAAAACAGACAATCCTATCAAAAAGTTTGCTAAGGACATGAATAGACGATTCTCAAAAGAAGATATACAAATGTCCAAAAACCATGAAAAAATGATCCACATCGCTAATGATTAGGGAAACGCAAATCAAAACCACACTGAGACCACCTTACTCCTATACGAATGGCAATAATCAAAAACTCAAGAAACGGTAGATTTTGGAGTGGATGTGGTAATCACGGAACACTTCTATACTGCTGGTGGGAATATAAACTAGTACAACCTCTATGGAAAACAGTGTGGAAATTCCTTGAAGAACTAAAAGTAGAACTACCATTTGATCCAGCAATCCCACTTCTAGGTATCTACCCAGAGGAAAATAAGTTATTATATGAAAAAGATCCTTGCACACTCATAGCAGCACAGCTGGTAAGTGCAAAATCGTGGAACCAACAGAAATGCCCATCAATCAACAAGTGGATAAAGAAACTGTGGTATAGTTGTACAATGGAATACTATGCAACCATAAAAAGGAACGAATTGACATTTGCAGCAAGCTGGATGAGATTGAATATTATTATTCTAAGTGAAGTAAGTAACTCAGGAATGGAAAAGCAAACATCATATGTTCTCACTGACATGTGGGAGCTAAGCTATGAGGACACAAAGTCATAAGAATGATACAATGCACTTTGGAGACTTGGGGAAAGAGTGGGAGAGGGACAAGGGATAAACAACTAAAAATACAGTGCAGTGTATACTACGCAGGTGTTGGGTGCACCAAAGTCTCACAAATCACCACTAAAGAACTTACTCATGTAACCAAATACATAAATAAATAAATAAATAAATAAATAAATAAGTAAATGGACAACTATCTGTCAGAAGTAATAGAGGCCACAGAGCAAGGGAATGACAACTTTAAAGGTCTAAAAGAAAAAAAAAAAAACCTGTTATTCTAGAATCCTAATCTAATGAAATGTCTTTCAAACATAAAGGTGAAATAAAGATATTTTCAAAATAAAATAATCCTCTAAAGACGGATACTTTTAATACTATTACATTGTCAATTATGATGCAAGATTATCCAAATAAGTTAACCCTTCAATATGTATTCCATTTTCTTAAACATTTTTGATAGTGATTTAATTAAATTTTGTATAAATACCAAGAATTGGTGTAAAATAACATTTCCAATGCCAAAATAAAATTAATCCCATGATGTGATGTTTGGTGGGTGAGGATTTCTTTACCTCATTTTGATAACTTGTCTAGGCATTATCTGCTCTTTTAATTACTAGGGCATGGAAGAGATTTTATAAAATTCTGATTTAGAAGGTCATGAACATTTTCCATATCACATCCTATGCATCAATCATTCAACACCCTCTTCAAATTGCATTTTCCCCAAGATACCTTCAAAGCCACAAATAATCTCTCACTCTCACCACATTGCAATTACTACCTCTCTTATAATAGTTGGCCATCTAAAACCTATTGATTTCACATGAGTAACTTGGATATTTGGTATGATTTAAGAGTCATTTCCATATTTATCATGATGTCTAGCACAGTATCATCTTTGTAGTAAATATTTAAAAGTGAAAATGATGACATTTAAAATATGTTCATTTGAGCATGTAAGCCTCAGATTTAAGTGTTCAGAAGAAGTCATTTCATTATGTTCTTTGAGCTGTTATCAGTTGATAAATTCAATCACAGAGGGAAAAATCCCTGATTCTAAAGAGTAATTTTGGCAGTAGAATGAATACAGTTAAGTAGGTTTCAAACAAAATACATCTTATTTGAAACCCATGTTGTATTTTGTTTCAAACCCTATGAGAGAGCTTTTATAAACATCTAAGTTTTTAGTTGCTTCAATAAAAAAGATAGTTTTTATTTAATGAGATTAGGTATACCAGCTTTGCAAATAATTTACATTGATAAGATAGACAGAGCTCAGCGTGAGATAAAATTACAGTATTTAGAAATCTAATTATCAGCTGTCATTGGAGTGTGTCTGATCTGGAAACATCATACATTTAAAAAAATGTAAAAGAGGCAAAGTTCTAGAGAGAATCATGCTTGTACAGTTTTAAGGGCCAGATTATGGATGCTGCTTCTTACCTCAGTTAACTTTAAGATGTGAAATGTTTCTGAAATGATTACTTACCTAGAAGTTACAAGGTATAAATGCCATGCTGATATGAGAGTGTGTTTCTTGAATCTGAGATAATAGATTTTTAAGTGAAATATGGGCTTACAGGTATTCCCTGGTGTCACAAAAGATACTGTAAAAAGAAGACTGTGATTGAGATTATTACCGTTTTCCAAAAGTCATTTTCCCCTACTTCTACATGATAGAGTTGAATAAGGATTGACTCTACAGCTAATGTTTCATGGCCTCTTTTCTGTCCAGATGTGGCCATGTGATTACATGCTGGGTAGCAGTATATGAATAGAAATGATGTGTTTCCCTTCGAATGCATGGTCTTAAAATGAATGTGGATATACTTTCCCTTTTTTTATTCATTCCTGCCACTCTAGGTACAGACTTCACAAAGAGTTGGATCAGTCATTTGGACAAAATGTGAAGACAAGAGTTGAGGATGGTAACATCCCTACCAGCCTAGACAATCTACCTCTGTATTGTTAAATTAAAATATATGGAACTGATATGGTTTGGATATTTGTCCCCTCCAAATCTCATGTTGAAATATGATCCACAATGTGAAGATGAGGCCTAGTGGGAGGTACCGAATCATGGGGGTGGATTTCTCATGAATGGCATAGTGCCATCCACCTGGTGATGAATGAGTTCTCTTGCTCAGTTAGATTATGCAAGTTCTGGCTGTTTACAAAAGTCCAGACCGCCCCTTCTCTTCTCCTGCTTGACTCTCACCATGTGATGTGCTGGCTCCTCTTTTGCCTTCTGGCATGATTGTAAGCTCCCTGAGGCTCTCACCAGATGCAAATGGCAGCACCATGCTTCCTGTACAGCTTGCAGAACTGTGAGCCAACTAAACTTTTTTTAAGTAAATTGCTCAGCCTCAGCTATTTCTTTATTACAATGCAAAAATAGACTAACATAGGAACTAGTATTGACTTCAAATTTAGCATGTCAGACAACTAGAGAAAAAGGAACTGATGACAAATAAAGCAGGAAAAATAGTATACAAAGGTGAAAAAATGAAAATCAGACTCTACCTTATATTACACAAACACAACACAGAAACAGAAGAGAGAGAGAAAGAGACAGAGGGAGAAAGGAATTAAGAATTTAAATGTGGAGTTGACAGTATTAGGAAGCAAAAATAAACTATAGTAGTTAAATTTGAATTTCAGATACATTTTTTGTATGGGCATTTTCCAAGTAATAGTCGGGTCATAATTACACTAAAAAGCTCTTTGTCATTTATCTGAAATCAAATATAACTCATGTCCTGTATTTTACCCAACCACTCTACTTAAATGTCAAAATAAAAATATTAAAACCCAAGAAATTATATATGTTTTTAATTTAGACATTGGGAAGTTTTCTTAAACCACACATAAAAAGCACTAACCTTAAAAGATTAACAAATCTGAATATTTTAAAGGTAAGAATTGACCATGAACACTTGAGCTAGAGTGAAGAAATAGAGCTAGAAAGTGGAAGGGGATAATTTCAATGGATATAACGCTCAAAAGTTTTAGTGTTCTAGTAAATGCTTATAATACATAAGGAAAAGAATAAAAATGGCCAAAAGTCCATAAACAGTCATTAAAGAGGAAATATGTATGGCTAATAAAAATAAGAAAACGATTCAATCCCAAAAGCAATCAGAAAAAAGCAATCAGAAAAAAGACCAAAATAAGTTACTATTTTATACTTATCAATTGACAGAATTGAAGCATTCTAAAAATACTAAGTCCTAGAGGGAATGTAAATCAATGTTTCAAATAATTGCTGACTTTCGGCAATCTGATGGGAGAGAAAATAGTTTCTTAGTGTCTTACTTTTTAAAATTCCAGGATTTGTGATTGAATTTGAGCATCTTTTCGTATGTGTAAGGGCTGATAACACACACACATACACATACTATATATGTCTATTTAAGTCTTTTTTTCTGTTTTCCATATTGTTACTGGTGGGTCTTTGTTCTTAGAGCTCCCAAGATGGTGGCAGCCGCTCCCA